>NC_000017.11:360000-448188 GCF_000001405.40 Homo sapiens
TGCATTCTGTCATGAACAGAGTCTGGAGTTAGAGATCAGAAGCCAGGCTCTCAGTCCCAGCTCGGACCAGCTACATGACTGTGAAGGGAAACAAGTTACACACACACACATCCCCGCAAGTCCTTACCCCGGCCAATCTGAGGCTTTATCAATTATTAAATGTCTATCATCTAATCTGCGCTGCTCACTTCCCCTGGTGGTAACAGAAATTACATGGGAGGTTCCTGACAGCGCCGTCAACACCAGCCTCACGCACGACACTGGCCTCATTATTAGCATTGGAGACAACACTCCAGGCAGCCCGCGTTCAACGATAAATAATAAGACACCAAGCCGCACGGCCTCCTACTAAATGCTGCAGGAATTCAAAGAGAAAGGAGCCCTCAGAACCCACATCTGCATTCAGTGTCCTGCCCCTCTGATGTCTGAGAGCAGCGTCTGACTGAAGGACTTGGATCTCTTGCTTCTCCTAGTAAGAAGCAAGTCCCAGCCAGGATCAGTCGCAAAAACCCTCAGGACTGGAAACGGCTGCCCTGGTATGGAGCAAAGGGCTGGGGCTCTGACAGCCCACAGCAGTCCCCTGACCGCACTGTCCCCTGCAGAAAGGCCAGCACAGCACGCATCACCCGTGGGCCAGGTGAAAGAGGACAGGCCAAGGCTGGAAACCGTGGGGCGCTGGGGCAGGTGACCCCTCCGTGTGCCTCCCACATGACCTCACAGACCTGACGCCTGCGTGTGCCTCCCACATGACCTCACAGACCTGACCCCAGCGTGTTCCTCCCACATGACCTCACAGACCTGACCCCAGCGTGTTCCTCCCACATGACCTCACAGACCTGACCCCAGCGTGTTCCTCCCACATGACCTCACAGACCTGACCCCAACGTGTTCCTCCCACATGACCTCACAGACCTGACCCCAGCGTGTTCCTCCCACATGACCTCACAGACCTGACCCCTGCGTGTTCCTCCCACATGACCTCACAGACCTGACCCCTGCGTGTTCCTCCCACATGACCTCACAGACCTGACCCCTGCGTGTTCCTCCCACATGACCTCACAGACCTGACCCCTGCGTGTGCCTCCCACATGACCTCACAGACATCTCCTGTCCCCCATCACAGGCCCATGTACAGTCACCAGGGTTTCCAGGCACCTGAATCCGCACCACTGGGTTTTAAATCACAGGAGAAAGTGAGTCAATGACAATAACAAGAATCCTTTTCAGCAAGTTTGTCAGGCGGCATGGACCGTCCTTTCTTTTCTGGGGGAAGTGACGGAATTCACAAAGCTAGTAAGATTAACACTAAATTCTGGAATGTTCCCTGCCCAGTCAAGTGCTGAAATTGAAGGCAAAAAAAAGGAGGGGTGATACACAGTCGAAGGGCTGAGTTTGCCAATCAGTTCAAGTTGAGAGGTGACAGCGTGCTGGCAGTCCTCAGAGCCCTCGCTTGCTCTCGGCACCTCCCCTGCCTGGGCTCCCACTTTGGTGACACTTGAGGAGCCCTTCGGCCCTCCGCTGCACTGTGGGAGCCCCTTTCTGGGCTGGCCAAGGCTGGAGCCCACTCCCTCAGCTTGCAGGGAGGTGTGGAGGGAGAGGCACCAGTGGGAACCGGGGCTGTGTGCGGCGCTTGCGGGCCAGCTGGAGTTCCGGGTGGGCGTGGGCTTGGCGGGCCCCGCACTCGGAGCAGCGAGTCAGCCCTGCTGGCCCCGGACAATGGGGAACTTAGCACCCGGGCCAGCGGCTGCAGAGGGTGTACTGAGTCCCCCAGCAGTGCCAGCCCACCGGCGCTGCGCTCGATTTCTCGCCGGGCCTTGGCTGCCTTCCCACGGGGCAGGGCTCGGGACCTGCAGCCCGCCATGCCTGAGCCTCCCACCCACTCCATGGGCTCCTGTGCGGCCCGAGCCTCCCCGACGAGCGCCACCCCCTGCTCCACAGCGCCCAGTCCCAACGACCACCCAAGGGCTGAGGAATGCGAGTGCACGGCGCAGGACTGGCAGGCAGCTCCACCTGCAGCCCCGGTGCGGGATCCACTAGGTGAAGCCAGCTGGGCTCCTCAGTCTGGTGGGGAGGTGGAGAGTCTTTATGTCTAGCTCAAGGTTTGTAAACACACCAATCAGCACCCTGTGTTTAGCTCAAGGTTTGTGAATGCACCAATCGACACTCTGTATCTAGCTGCTCTGGTGGGGCCTTGGAGAACCTGTGTGTGGAAACTCTGTATCTAACTAATCTGATGGGGAGTGGAGAACCTTTGTATCTAGCTCAGGGATTGTAAACGCACCAATCAGCACCCTGACAAAACAGGCCGCTTGGCTCTACCAATCAGCAGGATGTAGGTGGGGCCAGATAAGAGAATAAAAGCAGGCTGTCCGAGCCAGCATTGGCAACCAGCTCCGGTCCCCTTCCACACTGTGGAGGCTTTGTTCTTTCACTCTTTGCAATAAGTCTTGCTACTGCTCACTCTTTGGGTCCACGCTGCTTTTATGAGCTGTAACACTCACCGCGAAGATCTGCAGCTTCACTCCTGAGCCCAGCGAGACCACGAACCCACCAGAGGGAAGAAACTCCGAACACATCTGAACATCAGAAGGGACAGACTCCAGACGCGCCACCTGAAGAGCTGTAACACTCACCGCGAGGGTCTGCGGCTTCATTCTTGAAGTCAGTGAGACCAAGAACCCACCAATTCCGGACACAAAGTGACCAAATAGGGTCTCATGTGGTTTATTCCTAGAGGCCGACGGATCCCAGGCAGCAGGTTATCCGAAGAAAATGGGAGGGGACTTTGAATACAGGTAACCTCGCCACACATCAACGATGTCCCTTCCCCTCCATAGCTGACCTCGCCAGCCATCAACGACCTTCCTTCCCTCCCTGGCCTTCCTGTAGCTGTCCAGCCACCTTCAGGGGTGGGCTCCGGAGGCCCTGAGTTTACACTGCGGCCAGTCCCCTGGGGCACAGCTGGCTCTTCCAGGGGAGCACCTAAGCCAAACTGGCACATCAAGGTCCCTCCCTTAAGAATCCGGGAAATAAGGCTGGGTGCGGTGGCTCACTCCTGTAATCACAACACTGCGGGAGGCCGAGGAAGGAGGATTGCTTAGAGGTCAGGAGTTCGAGATCAGCCTGGGCAACATAGTCAAACCCCATTTCTACAAAAAAATAAACATAGGTCAGGCATGGTGGCTCACGCCTGTAATCCCAGTGATTTGGGAGGCTGAGGTGAGAGGATCGTTTGAGTCCGGGAGTTTGGGGCTGCAGCGAGCTATGATCATACCACTGCACTCCAGCCTGCGCAACAGAGCGAGACTCTTTCTTGAAAAATTTAAAAAATAAATTAAATTTTAAAAAAGTAAGGCCAGGAGTAGTGGCCCACACCTGTAATCCTAGCACTTTGGCAGGCTGAGATAGGATCACTTGAGCTCAGGACTTCAAGACGAGCCTGGGCAACACAGTGAGACACAGTAGAGCCTTGTCTACTAAAAATTTAAAAAAAACAGCCGGGGCCGGGCGCGGTGGCTCACGCCTGTAATCCCAGCACTTTGGGAGGCCGAGGCGGGTAGATCATGAGGTCAGGAGATCGAGACCATCCTGGCTAACAAGGTGAAACCCCGTCTCTACTAAAAATACAAAAAATTAGCCGGGCGCGGTGGCGGGCGCCTGTAGTCCCAGCTACTCGGGAGGCTGAGGCAGGAGAATGGCGTGAACCCGGGAAGCGGAGCTTGCAGTGAGCCGAGATTGCGCCACTGCAGTCCGCAGTCCGGCCTGGGCGACAGAGCGAGACTCCGTCTCAAAAAAAAAAAAAAAAAAAAAAAAAACAGCCGGATGTGGTGGTGTGTGGCCGGGTGTGGTGGCGTGTGGCCGGGCGTGGTGGCATGTGGCCGGGCGTGGTGGCATGTGGCCGGGCGTGGTGGCATGTGGCCGGGCGTGGTGGCGTGTGGCCGGGTGTGGTGGCGTGTAGCCAGGTTTGGTGGTGTGTAGCCGGGTATGGTGGTGCACACGTGTGGTCCTAGCTACTCTGGAGACTGAAGCAGGAGAATCACTTTAGCCTGGGAGGTCGAAGCTGCAATGAGTCTCATTCATAGATAGATAGATGGATGGATGGATGGACGGACGGACAGATAGATATACACAGGGATATATACATAGAGTTTCATAGATAGATGACAGATAGACAGACAAAAAGCAAAAAGAATCTGGGAAATGGGGTAAGAGACGGAGTCTCAACTCAACTGCCTTTTGCAGTAAGATGCACACTGAGGCTGAGGCCATTTTCCCCTCATGGAAATGTCCAGTTGACAGAAACGGAAAGGTGGCCTGCAGTGAGACCGAGAAGAGGGGAGCCAACATGGAGCTGAAGCAGGACAGAGAGAGGGGCCCCTCCCTCTAGCATTTGTGCTCCATTCAGCCCCTCCAGGGGCCTGAGCGTTGAAATCTTCCTCAGCTTCTATGAGATACTCCAGGGCCTTGGCAGTAAAGTTCCCTTTTTGTCCAGCCTCTGCTGTTTGCAACCAGCCCCAGTGAGCCGCAAGTCCTAGCTGGCCTGATTAATATCATGTCCACTTTCCCACCACCCTTCCATCCAGCAAAACCACCTCACGCCACGCTGAGCTGACTGAGAATACCTGGGAGTATTCAAATCAGTGGCCGGGGGAGAACAAAGGTTTCGGTGGCAGAGGGACCCAGGTCCGGGTCCATCTAGCACAGTGACCTTGAATAAACCTCCCGAAGCGTAATCTCCTCCATCTGGGCTGCTGCCGATACCTCCTCAAATCCACTCCCGGCCCTCCCTGGTCTCTTCTCCTCACTATCCCCACAGTGAGCTCCCCAAAATGTCAGCCCTTGCCAGGTAACGCGCATTTAAAAAAGAAATAAATAAAAATAAAAAACAAAGCATCAGCCCTGTCACGGAACTGCCAGCCTGAAACTGCCCCAGTGGCTTCCTACTGTTCTGATGATACAAGCGAAATCCTCCCCCCAGGGGCCTGAGGTTTCCTTTCCACGCCGCGCGCTTTCCCCTGGGGGCCAGGAACCCTGATTCTTCTGCCTGGGAAATGCTTCCCCCAACTCTTTCCCCACAACCCCTTTTGCCTAATTAACTCTTTAAAATTCATTTTGTCAACATCATTATTGAGATAGAATTCACAAACCACAAAATGTACCTTTTCAAAGTTTACAATTCGGTGGTTTTTTGGTACAGTCACAGGGTTGTGCCACCATTACCGCTACCTAATTCTAGAACATTTTCATCACTCCACAAAGAAACCCATCAGCAGCCGGGCACAGTGGCTCACGCCTGTAATCCCAGCACTTCAGGAGGCCGAGGCGGAAGGATCACCTGAGGTCAGGAGTTCGAGACCAGCCTGGCCAATATGGTGAAACCCTGTCTCTACTAAAAGTACAAAAAATTAGCCAGGCACGGTGGCGGTCACCTGTAATCCCAGCTACTCGGGAGGCTGAGGCAGGAGAAAGGCGTGAACCCGGGAGGTGGAGCTTGCAGTGAGCCGAGATTGCGCCACTGCGCTCAGCCTGGGTGACAGAGCGAGATGCCATCTCAAAAAAAGAAAGAAAGAAGCCCATTAGCAGCCACTCCCTCCCATTCCTCCCTTCTCCACAGTCCCCAGAAGTCACGAATCTGCTTTCTGTCTTATTAATTTGCATAATCTGGACATTTCATATAAACAGAATCATATAATAAGTGGTATTTTTATTCACGATTTCATTTTTCAGCTCTAATCTCTATTATTTCTTTCCTTTTGCTTGCTTTGGGTTTAGTTTGCTGTTCTTTTTCTAGTTTCTTAAGGTGGAAGATTATTTATTTGAAGTTTTTCTTCTTTTTTAACAGAGGTTCTTACAGCTATACATTTTATAGGTTTTGATAGGTTATATTTTCATTTTCATTCATCTCAACCTACTTTCTAATTTCTCTGTGATTTCTTCTTCTTCTTTTTAGAGACAGGGTCTTGCTATATTGTCCAGGCTGGTCTCAAACTCCCGGACTCAAGCAGCCCTCCTACCTTGGCCTCCCAAAGTGTTGAGATTACAGGCATGAGCCACCGCACCTGGCCTAATTTCTTCTTTGACCCATTGGTGTTTGTTTGTTTGTGTTTGTTTGTTTTGAGACAGAGTCTCACTCTTGTTGCCCAGGCTGGAGTGCAATGCTGTGATCTCAGCTCACTGCAACCTCTGCCTCCTGAGTTCAAGCGATTCTCCTGCCTCAGCCTCCTGAGTAGCTAGGATTACAGGCGCCTGCCACCACACCAGCTAATTTTTTGTATTTTTAATACAGACGGGATTTCACAATGCTGGCCAGGCTGGTTTCGAACTCCTGACCTCAGGTGATCCACCTGCCTCGGCATCCCAAAGTGCTGGGATTGCAGGCGTGAGCCACCATGCCCAGCCAACCCATTGGTTATTTAGGAGTGTGTTCACTTTGGACATTTGTGAATTCCCAAATTTCCTTTATTGATATCTAACTTCATTCTACTACAGTTAGAGAACGTACTTTGTATGACTTGAATCCTTTTAAATTTATTAAGGCCAGGTGCGGTGGTTCATGCCTGTAATCCTAACACTTTGAGAGGCCGAGGCAGGCGGATCGCTTGAGGCCAGGAGTTTGAGACCAGCCTGGCCAACATAGCAAAACCCCATCTCCTCCAAAAATACAAAACTTAGCTGAGCCTGGTGGTGCAAACCTGTAATCCCAGCTACTCAGGAGGCTGAGGCATGAGAATCACTTGCACCCAGGAGGCGGAGGTTGCCAAGATTGCACCGCTGCACTCCAGTCTGGGTAACAGAGAGAGACTTCATCTTAACAAAAATCAGTCAGGCGTGAAGGCACGTATCTGCCGTCTCAGCTACTTCTGGGAACTGAGGTGGGGGACTACCAGAGCCTGGGGGGTTGAGGCTGCAGTGAGCCGTGATCATGCCACTGCACTCCAGCCTGGGAAACAGAGCAAGACCAGAAAAATTACCGAGTCTTGTTTTACGGCCTAACATATGGCCTCTCCCAGAGAACACCTCCCGGGCACGTGAGAAGAACGTGCGTCCTGTGGTTGCTGGGTGGCGTGTTCTGCAGATGTCTGTCCTGCCGGGCACGTGAGAAGAACGTGCATCCTGCAGTTGCTGGGTGGAGAGTTCTGCAGATGTCTGTCCTCCCGGGCACTTGAGAAGAACGTGCATCCTGCGGTTGCTGGGTGGAGAGTTCTGCAGATGTCTGTCCTCCCAGGCACTTGAGAAGAACGTGCATGCTGTGGTTGCTGGGTGGAGAGTTCTGCAGATGTCTGTCCTCCCAGGCACTTGAGAAGAACGTGCATGCTGTGGTTGCTGGGTGGAGAGTTCTGCAGATGTCTGTCCTCCCAGGCATGTGAGAAGAACGTGCATCCTGCAGCTGCTGGGTGGCATGTTCTGCAGGTGTCTGTCCTCCCAGGCATGTGAGAAGAACGTGAATGCTGCGGTTGCTGGGTGGAGAGTTCTGCAGATATCTGTCCTCCCGGGCACGTGAAAAGAACCTGCATCCTGCGATTGCTGGGTGGCGTGTTCTGCAGATGCCTGTCCTCCCGGGCACGTGAGAAGAACGTGCGTCCTGCGGTTGCTGGGTGGAGAGTTCTGCAGATGTCTGTCCTCCCGGGCACGTGAAAAGAACCTGCATCCTGCGATTGCTGGGTGGCATGTTCTGCAGATGCCTGTCCTCCCGGGCACGTGAGAAGAACGTGCGTCCTGCGGTTGCTGGGTGGAGAGTTCTGCAGATGTCTGTCCTCCCGGGCATGTGAGAATGTGCATGCTGCGGTTGCTGGGTGGAGAGTTCTGCAGATGTCTGTCTTCCCGGGCACGTGAAAAGAACCTGCATCCTGCGATTGCTGGGTGGCGTGTTCTGCAGATGTCTGTCCTCCCAGGCACATGAAAAGAACGTGCATCCTGCGGTTGCTGGGTGGCGTGTTCTGCAGATGCCTGTCCTCCCGGGCACGTGAGAAGAACCTGCATCCTGCGGTTGCTGGGTGGAGAGTTCTGCAGATGTCTGTTAGGTCCAGTTGATTTACAGTGTTTTCAAGTCTATCTCATTGTTGGTTCTCTGCCTACTCATTCTATCCATTATTGAAAGTGGGACCTTGAAGCTTCCAACGATTATTGTTGGATTTTGTATTTCTCCCTTCATTTCTGTTGGTTTTGGTTCATGTATTTTGGGGGTCTCTTGTTAGGTGCATACAGCTTTATAATTATTAGGCTTTCCTGATAGGTTGACTCCTTTGTCATTATAAAATGTCCCTGTTTGTCCCTAGTAACAATTTTTGCCTTAAAGCCTATTTTGTCTGCTACTTGTGGAGCCACTTCACCACTCTTTCGGTTACTGCTTGAACGGAATATCTTTTTCTGTCCTTTTACTTTACACACATTTGTGTCTTTGAATCTAAAGTGTGTCTCTTGTAAATCCGTTCTGCCATGCTCTTTTTATTGGAGAATTTAGTTCATTTGTATTTAATGTAATTACAGATAAGATAGGATTTATGCCATTTTGCTAGTTGCTTTCCATATGTCTTGTCTTTTTATTCCTATATTTTCCCATTTCTGCCTTCTTTTGTGTTGAATACGTATTTTCTAGCATAACCCTTAATGCTCCTCTTCCATTTTTTAAAGTTATTTTCTTAATGGTTGCCTTGGAGACTACAATTAACATTTTAATTTAAAACAATCTAACCTGGACTAATACTGACCTAATTGCAATAGTACACAAAACCTTTGCTCCAACATCGCTCTGTCCCCTCCACTCCTTTGTGCTATTATTGTTATACAAATTATATCTTGGTGCATTATAAGCCCATCAACAAAGTTTTAACAAGCATTGCTTTCCGCAGTTATCTTTTCAATCAGACAGAAGAATTACTAGCAGAATATACTCACCCCTTTAGATGCTCCTTGTATCGTCATATGGATTTCAGTCACCGCCTAGTGCCCTTTCATGTCGGCCTGAAGGATTCTCTTTAGGATTTCTTATAGGCCATGCCTGCCAGTGACAAATTCTCTCTGTTTTTATTATATTAATCTAGGATGTCTTAATTTCTCCTTTTTTTTTTTTGAGACGCAGTCTCGCTCTGTCGCCCAGGCTGGAGTGCAGTGGTGCGATCTCGGCTCACTGCAAGCTCCGCCTCCTGGGTTCACACGATTCTCCTGCCTCAGCCTCCTGAGCAGCTGGGACTACAGGCGCCCGCCACCACACCCGGCTAATTTTTTTTTGTATTTTTAGTAGAGACGGGGTTTCACCATGTTTGCCAGGATGGTCTTGATCTCCTGACCTCGTGATCCCCCGGCCTGGGCCTCCCAAAGTGCTGGGATTACAGGCATGAGCCACCACACCCGGCCTCTTTTGAAGGATAGTTTTTTGTGGATATAGAATTCTTTAAAGAATTTTTTAAATTCTTTCAGCACTTTGGCTGTGCCACCCACTGCCTCCTGCTTTCCAGGGCTTCAGATGAGAAGTCAGCTGTGCTATTAATCTTCATGAGTGTTCCCTGCCTCATTAACACTCACCTTCAATTCTGAATTCAACCGTATCTTCCTCCCTGGCCCAGGCCAGGCCCTTTGATACCGGCACCTCGTTCCTCCATAATTCCCCTTTGTAGTGATTATCACAGTTGTAATTAAACAATTAATGATGGACAGAGCTCTTTCCTGTATTTTCCCATCACTAGAATGTAAGTTCCATAAGGCAAGAAGAACCAGGCCTGCCTTGTTCACCATTCTGTTGCCCGAAGCTGCTCAACGCCTGGCACACTATGAACTCTCAATAAATATTTACTGAGCGAACGACTGACACTCATCCTAGAGTAGGCTACATGACTGGTCTCAGCTTCTCACTCCCTGCAGTGGTGTAAACAGCCACACCATGCCAGGGCCTACAAGTAGGCAGTGTACATCCCTGCCCTGTGTTGAGGTTGGCTGTGAGCCTTGTGTTAGCTAATGGGATGTTAGTGAATATGATGTGAAAAAAGGCTGGAAATGTACATGTACGATTGAGCTGGTCCTCACTGTGCTCCTCCTGTCACCATGAGACAGAACAGGCCTTGGGTGGTCTCTGTGCTCCTCCCGTCACCATGAGACAGAACAGGCCTTGGGTGGTCTCTTGTGCTCCTCCCGTCACCATGAGACAGAACAGGCCTTGGGTGGTCTCTTGTGCTCCTCCCGTCACCATGAGACAGAACAGGCCTTGGGTGGTCTCTTGTGCTCCTCCCGTCACCATGAGACAGAACAGGCCTTGGGTGGTCTCTTGTGCTCCTCCTGTCACCATGAGACAGAACAGGCCTTGGGTGGTCTCTTGTGCTCCTCCCGTCACCATGAGACAGAACAGGCCTTGGGTGGTCTCTTGTGCTCCTCCTGTCACCATGAGACAGAACAGGCCTTGGGTGGTCTCTTGTGCTCCTCCTATCACCATGAGACAGAACAGGCCTTGGGTGGTCTCTTGTGCTCCTCCTATCACCATGAGACAGAACAGGCCTTGGGTGGTCTCTGTGCTCCTCCTGTCACCATGAGACAGAACAGGCCTTGGGTGGTCTCTGGTCCAAATGGGATCAGAGACACATGGAACAGACCTAAACCCACTTGGAGCTTGAAGTCAGCCAAGTCCTCCTGCGGGCAGCCTAGGTCAGCCAAACCTCACCCAACTCCGAGCTACGTGAGAGGGAAATAAATGCTCACTGTCATATGCCAGTGGGTTTGGGGCAGCTTGTTGCATCCCAATATGGTGGCAATCGATGGCTAAGACATATGCCCCTGTGAGTCTGAAGGCTGGGAGTGAGTGCTGGCGAAGGTCTTCATGTGGCCCACAATTGGGTCCAGATGAGTTCCATAGGCAGATCCACCAGCCTCCTCTGTACTTACAGAATAAAGTTCCCAGAATCCTACAGTCCCGCAACTCATCTCTGGTGCCAGCAGCTCCTGGAGTAGCCCAGAGTGTACTAAGCGCGGAGTACCATGCCAGGCACACAGTAGGCGCTTTGCTGAGTTAGGCTTTGTCCTTCTCCACCTTCCCCCTCACCAATTCCACCACTGGGCCTGAGTTCATCTGCACAGATGAAAATCTGCAGTTCTTCCTCCGTTGTGGGGCTGGACTGGCGGGGGCAGGGGGAGGCACCCTCACCTGTCCCAGGAGCTAACCCTGCTTACTGCCTCAATGACACCCAGACTCAAGTGACGAGGCGAGCCTGGGCCCTGGACACCAGGTCTGTGCAAAGTGAGGTCACCCCGCAGGTGAGTCCTGGCTGCCCCCTTGGCCTGTCCTTTCTACTCTGACTTGGAGCATGACCCTGATGGAAATTTTCAGTTCCGTAAAGGAAATTTTGATTCGATATAGGGCCTTTTTACTCCCAAGTTTCCCCCTTTGCTAAATTAGTTCCCAATCCCTCTGCCAAGGGTGACTCTGTTCACCCTCTGATGCTGAAACCTGAAGAGGGGTTTGTGAGGAGTCTGAGGCCAGCCCAGCCCTCACGGTGCTTCTGTGCAGGATCAGAAGAGGTGCCCCTCATGGCGGCACTTGTCTTCCACCTGGTTAAAAAGCACCATAATAAACCAATAATGTTAATTCCATTCATTAGAAAGTTACCAACAAACCACACAAAAAGCTCCTTCTAGGCAGACCCACCACATCCAGAACTACCTGCAGCTCTCGCCGAGCAAGACGCTCAAAGCAGTTACCTCCTCAGCAGTATCCCCACGATAGACCGCTGTGGTCTGAATGTTTGCGACCCGCGAAAGCTCCCGTATTGAAACCCTAACACCCCAAGGCATGAGGAGGCGGGGCCTTTAGGAGGTGATTAGGTCGTATGGGCAAGGTCCTCATAAATGGGATTAGTGTTCTTGTAAAAGGGGCTTTTCTACCCCTTAAGATTAAGGTGTTATAAAACCCAAAGGGAGGGACTCAAACCACTGTTGCCAAATGATGACTGAGACAGTGTTAGATCTAACTTGACCGACTCCGTCTTGCTCCTAACCTCCAAGCTGCCCTTGTTCATTCCTGGGCGTAGGCTGAACTAACTTTAGGAGAAACTTAGTTTATAGTTTATAGTTTAAACAAAGACGGTAACAGCCCTTTCCCAAAGCAGACCTCCTTCTTCCCCGGGGACTAGTCTGCCTTTGTAGGACTAACTTTAGCCCCAAGATTAGAAATTATGGTTTAGCAGTCATGCAGCTGGAGGCTACAAGATTCTGACCCTCCCTAGCTGCTCCTAAGATCAGCGCTTGAGATATTTTGGAAACCCTGCACTTGATGGATCAGCTGGCACCACCCAGATCAATAAACTGGCTCATCTGATCTTGAGGTCCCCACCCAGGAACTGACCGAGCACAAGAAGACAGCTTTGACTTGCTGTGATTTCATCTCTGACCAATCAGCACTCCTGGCTCACTGGCTTCCCCCACCCACCACGTTATCCTTAAAAGCTCTGATCCCTGCATGCTCGGGGAGACTGATTGGAGTAATAATAAAACTCCGGTCTCCCACAAAAAAATAAATAAACAAAAGAGGCTTTTAAGGAAGCCCGTTGGCCCCTCCTGCCATGTGAGGACACAGAAAGAAAGCACCATCTATGAACCAGGAAATGGGCCCTGAGCAGACACAGAATCTGCCCACACCTTGATCTTGAACTTCCCAGCTTCCAAACCGTCAGAAATAAATGTCTGTTGTCTATAAGCCACCCGGATGATGATATTTTCATACAGCAGTCTGAATGGGCTAAGAGACTTCATAGCAAAGAACCATGTCTTGTTTCTGCTCAGCTCACGTCGGAAGTAGAAGGTCATAACAAGCCAGATGGTGTGAGAAAGGTCTTCATGTCCAGATGGGCATCACTGGACCCCGAGAAGTGGTTTCTGCAAATGAGGGAAGCCCCCAGCAGGATTGGAAGTGGCAGGTAAAGAAAGGTCACTGCAGGAATCAGCTCTCAAAACAGGCGGTGGTGGTGGGGAGGGGAGGGGCGAACGCTGGGAAAATACAGGCAACTGAGCGGCTGCTTCGAGACCCAGCCTGGACGGATTTGGGGTTAGAGATAGTTTCACATTCATCTGTGAACCTCACCCATGGCACCTTCTCCTTAATCAGATGCTCCCCAGACCCTGACATTAACAAGGACATGAGCTGTCAGAATTCAGAGACCGGTTGAAATTGGGCCATTTCTTATCACTAATCTGTGTGATTGGATGACATTGAAAAAAGAAACCAGAAGAGAATTCATTTCCTTTTTCATTTTTAAACGAGGCCCCACTTAGAGCAGAAGAGTTTAGGTGTTGGGCCTTCTTAAGCAAACAGTCCTCAAGGGATGGTCTGCACCAAACACCCCCTCACCTAATCCCTGACACTCTACATCAAGGAGCAAGAGGAATGAACCTGGTTTCCAAAAATTAAGTCCAGAAAAGAACATGCATTCCTACATCTCACCTTCTAAATTAAGCCAGTGTTCTCCATTAACGTCCCACTGGGGACTGAGAGAAAATTGTTTCAAAACTGGGAACTAAATTTAAAGTTAGGAAGAAAAAAAAAATAACACTTTACGAGTCCCAAATGTTTGAAGTAGTTTGTTACAAACTTTCAAGTCAGATCTAAAGTGACTGCCTGTTTGAGAGTTCACATTGTCAGCCCAGGAATCCAACTGTCCAAATGGGGTCATGTACAAACTCAGGGATTGGTTAAAGGTCAATTACACCCTCAGTTTTAGCAATACAAGGGGTATACTCCACTAAAGTTTTGGTTCTCGTAGTTGGCTGCGCACACTGTATCCACTGGGGTTGTAAGCAACAGAAATCAAGTCTGCACGACTTAAGCAGAAAGGAATGTACTGGCAGAATACCTTGGGGATACCTCGTAGCTCAGAACCAATCAGAAGGCTGAAGACCCTGATGGAAACTGCAACAGTCTAAGGCCTTCAAGTCCCATCACCTTCCACTATGGAAGTAGTGGCTCCAAAATCCTTTCTCCCCTTGCTTCACTCTGCCAAGTTTCAGATCCCGGAGTGGACAGCCCAGCAAAGTAGCCTGGCGTGGGCCCAGGTCCCATCCCTTGAGCTGGGTGATGACTACATGGGGTGTGTCCACCTTGTGAAAATGCAGAATACTTCTGATGCATGCAGTTTTCTGAAGAGATGCTACGCTTCCTTTTTTTTTTTTCCTTTTGAGACAGGGTTTTGCTCTGTCACCCAAGCTGAAGTGCAGTGGGACAAGGGTCACTGTAGCCTTGACCTCCCACCTCAGCCTCCCAAGTAGCTGGGACTACATGTGCATGCTACCACACCTGGCTAATTTTTCTATTTTTTTAGAGATGGGTTTTTGCCATGCTGCCCAGGCTAGTCTCAAACTCCTGGGCTCAAGCAATCCACCCACCTCAGCCTCCCAAAGTGCTGGGATTACAGGCGTGAGCCACCATGCCAGGCACTATGCTTCAATTTTTTAAGAAAAAACGTTCACCTATCCCATGACCGAGCAATTCCACTCTTAGGAAAAGTAAAACAGGTAAGAGGGCCAGGTGCAATGGCTCACACCTGTAATCCCCAGCACTTTGGGAGGCGAGGCGGGCGGATCACAAGGTCAGGAGATTGAGACCATCCTGGCTAACACAGTGAAACCCCATCTCTACTAAAAATATAAAAAATTAGCTGGGTGTGGTGGCGGGTGCCTGTAATCCCAGCTACTCGGGAGGCTGAGGCAGGAGAATGGCGTGAACCCGGGAGGTAGAGTTTGCAGTGAGCCAAGATCGCGCCACTGCACTCCAGCCTGGGCAACAGAGCGAGACTCCGTATCAAAAAACAAACAAACAAACAAAAAAAACAGGTAAGAGAAACAAAGTATATGACGGGAATGAAAAACAAGGTCAACATGAATACTTATGGCCACTCCATTGATAATAGCCAAAAATGAACACAGCCCAGAGGTCCATCACCAGGTGAATAGATAAGCAACTTATACATACTCATAGCAAGGAATACTGCTGACCAAAAGGAAGCAACTACCGACCCAAACAACAACTGGGGTGAATCTCAACAACGTCATGCCAAATGAGAGCGAGAGACGCCTTTCACAAAAGAACACACGTTGTATGATCCCATTTACATGAAGTTCCAGTACAGGTAAAATTAACCTATGGTAGCTGGGTGCAGTGGCTCATGCCTGTAATCCCAGCACTTTGAGAGGCTGAGGCTGGAAGATCACCTGGGGTCAGGAGTTCAAGACCAGCCTGGCCAACATGGTGAAACCCAGTCTCTACTAAAAATAGAAAAATCAGCTGGGTGTGGTGGCACACGCCTGTAATCCCAGCTACTCGGGAGGCTGAGGCGGGAGAATCACTTGAACCCAGGAGGCGGAGGTTGTAGTGAGCAGAGATCGCACCATTGCACTCCAGCCTGGGCAACAAGAGTAAAGCTCTGTCTCAAAAAAAAAAAAAAAAAAAATTAATCTCTGGTGAAAAAACTCCAAAGAGTGGCTGACTGCAGGGGGAGTGGGACAGGGATTGACGGGGACGGGGTGTGAGAGTGACTGACTGCAGGGGGAGTGGGACAGGGATTGACGGGGATGGGGTGTGAGAGTGGCTGACTGCGGGGGGAGTGGGACAGGGATTGACGGGGACGGGGTGTGAGAGTGACTGACTGCAGGGGAAGTGGGACAGGGATTGACGGGGACGGGGCGTGAGAGTGACTGACTGCAGGGGAAGTGGGACAGGGATTGACGGGGACGGGGTGTGAGAGTGGCTGACTGCGGGGGGAGTGGGACAGGGATTGACGGGGACGGGGTGTGAGAGTGACTGACTGCAGGGGAAGTGGGACAGGGATTGACGGGGACGGGGCGTGAGAGTGGCTGACTGCGGGGGGAGTGGGACAGGGATTGACGGGGACGGGGTGTGAGAGAATGCTCTGGGACAGTGGTCACGTTCTCTATTTTGATAGCAGCCTGGGTTGCACAAGCCTGCGTGTTTATCTGAGCTCATCAGATGGAGCAGGTAAGATTTGTGTATTTCGTTGCATGCATGTTTTACCATGGAAGAAAAATACCATAAACAACTACTGAACTTTAGTTCATGGTAAGCTTACTGAAGCATTTGACTATTTTGTTCAAAAGATGCATTAAGATAGATAAAAAGCAAGCCACAAACTGAGAGACATATTTGCAGCATAATAGACATCTGATTAGTACCAGTACGCGGACATACGGAGATCTCCTACAAATCAATAATAATCTAAAAGGGAAAAAATGGGTAAAGAAAAGTGCAGTGTGCAGATGAGCTAATACTTCAAGTCAGTTAGGGAAAGAGAAGGATACCTCAAATCTAGTAACACCAGTTCCTGGACCCGAAAGGCTGAGGGATAAAGGAGGAGGAAGACTCTCACCATTTGCCTTTTTACACCTTTAGAATTTTAAATGACATGATTTTTTTTTTTTTTTGAGACAGAGTCTCGCTCTGTTGCCAATGCTGGGGAGCAGTGGTGCAATCTTGCTCACTGAAACCTCTGCCTCCCAGGCTCAAGCAATTCTCTTGCCTCAGCCTCCAGAGTATCTGGGATGACAGGTGCCAGCCACCACACCCAGCTAATTTTTGTATTTTTAGTAGAGATGGGGTTTAGTAGAGATGGGGATGACCATGTTGGCCAGGCTGGTATTGGACTCCTGACCTCAGGTGATCCACCCGCCTCGGCCTCCCAAAGTGCTGGGATGACAGGCGTAAGCCACTGCACCCGGCCCCTTAAATGACATGCTCATAATGTATCTTCCAAAAATAAATTAAATTTAAGTTTAAAATACAGCTTGTGGGCAAAGAAAGTGAACTGAAATAATAGGTCAACAATTTGGAAAGAAAGAAAATCGAGGTCTTCCCTTCCATCACAAAACAAAATAAATTTTGATTGGATTAGCATTGAAAGTCAAAGAGAGCTGAATGGAAAGGCTGAAACCAAAAAAGAACCTGAAGAAAATATAGAACTGAACATTTATCTGAACTTGGGGTGAGGAAAACGTTTCAAACCCCAAAACAGAGGGTTTTTGAAAAATCATAAGATGAAAAGACTGATGGACTTAATGAAATGCATTAGTCAGTTCAGGCTGCCATGAAATATGCAGACAGGGCGGCTTACACAGCTGGCATTTCTTCTCACAGTCCTGGAGGCTGGGGAGTCCAAGATCAAGGTGCCAGCTGGCTCCGATTATGGCGAGGCCTCTCCTCCTGGCTTGTGGACATGGTGAGGGCCCAGGGGAAGGGAGAGACAGAGACAGAGAGAGTGGGGAGAAGAGGGGGAGAGAGAGAGCAAGAGAGAGAGAGAAGGAGAGAGAAAGAGAGAGGGAGAGAGAGATTGAGAAAAGGAGAGAGAGACAGAGATTGAGAAAGAGAAAGAGAGATTGACAAAGGGAGAGAGAGGCGAGGCGCAGTGTCTCGTGCCTGTAATCCTAGCACTTTGGGAGGCCGAGGTGGGAGGGTTGCCTGAGCCCAGGAGATGGAGACCAGCCTGGGCAACACAGCAAAACCCCATCTCTGTTATAAAACATTTTTTTTCAGTTTAAAAAGAGAGAGAGAGAGAGAGATTGACAAAGAGAGAGGTTGAGAAAGAGAGAGTGGGGAGAGGGGAGGGGGATGGGGAAGGGGAGGGAGAGCGCTCTCCAGCATCTGTGTTTATACGGACACTAACGTATTGCATCAGGGCCCCACCTTTCTGACCTCATTTAACCTTAATTACTTCCTGACTCCACACACAGCTGCACTAGGGGTGAACGCCACAACCCAGGAATACTGGGGAACACAAACGTTCAGTCTGTATTACCACATAAACATTTAAACCTTCTCTATGTTTAAAAATAATCGTAATACTTGGTATGCAACAAGATCTTTAAAAAGAGAAAAATAACCAAAGAAAAATGCCAAAAGGAGGGGAAAAATGTTTGTTACATATGTCAGTCAATATAGAGAAATCAACGCAGGTTACCAAATCATGTCTACAGTATCATCTCCATTTTTAAGCAGTAAACACTGGCTATCTCTGGAGGTTGGGAATCACGGATTTTTATTTTCCTCTTTGTGCTTTCTGCATTTTCTAAATTTTCCACAATGAACATGAATTACTTTTATAATTTAAAAAAAAAGACTTTTTTTTTAAAGAACTCTTATGTGAAAGTCAAGCAACATCCAGGCGGACAGTCCAGTTCTGCACAGACTTTAGGGGATGGCTGGTGAGCCTGGCAGAGCGTGAGCAAGGAGCCGGCACCACAGACCCGGGAGGCCATGGGCTGTATTACCCTATAGACAACAGGAAACCCTGGAGGTGCCCAGAGGAGGAGGGCACAAGAGGGAACGTAAACCAATGAAACTCTTGCCCCATGGAAAAGGGAAGGTGTAGGCTCCAGAGGGACAACAAAGGCAGATTTCAGCTCAAAAGAGGGAAGAATTTCCACCTTCTGAGCTGCCCCTGAATGCAAAGCATTATGCAGTGAAGCTCTCTGTCTCAGTCCACCTAGGACTCAGGGACCAATGGAGCAAAGAATCTCCACTCAGGAAGGGGTTTAGACTAGACATCACTTTTTTTTTTTTTTTTTTTTGAGACAGAGTCTTGCCCTGTCGCCCAGCCTGGAGTGCAGTGGCTCAATCTCAGCTCATGGCAACCTCCACCTCCCGGGTTCAAGTGATTCTCCTGCCTCAGCCTCCCAAGTAGCTAGGATTACAAGCGTGTGTTGCCACACCTGGCTAATTTTTACATGTTTAGTAGAGATGGGGTTTCACCATGTTGCCCAGGCTGGTCTTGAACTCCTAACCTCAGGTGATCTGCCCACCTTGTCATTCATGTTCTTATATAAAGTTCTAATTCCTTTTCAACGTTGCGCAGTAGCCCAAGGTATGAAAATACAAGTCTACGGAGCTGTCTCACCACGAACAAACATTCAGACTGTGTACGATCTTTCACCACCACAGACCGTCACAAAGGCTGTCCCAGAAGTTGTCACCTGTGCACAGGTGCCAGCATTTCTTTAGGGTAGATCCTGAGAAGTAGAATCACTGAATCACTATGTCACAGGGCAGCTGCATTTATTTTAACAGTTCTCACCAAACTGCATCCACCATGATGTTCCTTTCCAAGCCTCGGATCCCAGAGATTTACAGACCCCATCTCTATGATATGTCTCCTTGTCGGCTTCAGCCAGGCATTCATACCTCCCTGGGATACTCCAGGCCTCAGTGCAGCTCTGTGGCTCCTCCTTACTATGAAAACCATCACCCACCCCGAGACAGGCTGCCGACATCATCGGCAGCCTTGGAGCACAGCCCAAATGGTCGCCCATCCGGCTACTGGTGGAGAAGACTCTTGGATGAGGAAGGCAGGCCTCCTAACTCTGAGATGCTGCACCTCTGTCAGTCAGGGGGTACTCCATCACTCCATCCATGAGTGAGAAGGAGGGGCTGGGCAAGAGGAGACTAAATCCTGGCGTCACTCAACGGCTTGGATGGGCCAGAACCAAAGATGAAAATGCACCAACATGTAAATTTAGCCATGAGCACAGCTGGGTGATGGAGACAGGACCGGATCGTCAGTATCCAACACGCAACTGATTAAGTGTCCATGGTAAAATAAGTGCTCTTACACGAGGTGCTAACGACGTAATTGCGGTCTTACATAAGGTGCTCTGGTATTTTCAGCAGCAGATAACTGCCATGTGAATGGAGAAGCCGCCCTCCCAATGAATGCTGCTTACTGTACAGGCTGGCACAGGCCTTGAAATGCCAGTGCTTTGCAGGCAGCCAGCTGCTGTCAGAGGGGTGAGGATGTCTGTGCCCGGGGCTGCAGCTCCGCTCGTGTTCTGCAATTTCTACAGGCTGGCCGGACTCCCCACAGCCAGCTGGGGGTACACACATCACCGTGCTTACACCCCCAAGCATCCCAAAAGCAAGGAAAAGGGCCACTTCAGGGGCTCTCCCAACCCAAGCAGCCACCTTGTAGCTAAGAGAGCTCTCCCCAGACCCAGCAGGGTGGAGGTAGACAGGAAGAAACCAGAGCCAGCCCGGGCTCAGCTGCCTCGTTCCCAGAGCTGACCCCTCCGGAGCCTAGGTGCTCACCCTCATGTCACCTCCCACCTGTCACGAGAAACCCAAGGCTGCAGGTACAGTGAAGTCAAAGTGGCCTCTTGGAATGGTGTGTCTGTATTCACGTCCCGGGTTTAGGATCCCTGCAGCCTTTTTTCCTGTTTCGCTCCATTGTATTAAGTCTAACACATACACAGAGGAGTACACACATGGAACGGGTAAGCGTTGGCATTGATGGAAAGAACGCAGCCCTCTGACTGACACCCCATTAAAGGAACCAGGCAGTACCAGCCTCCCGGAAGCCCTTCTCATCCCTCCCGGAAGCCCTCCTCATGCTTCCCGGAAGCCCTCCTCATCCCTCCCGGAAGCCCTCCTCATGCTTCCCGGAAGCCCTCCTCATCCCTCCCGGAAGCCCTCCTCATCCCTCCCAGAAGCCCTCCTCATCCCTCCCAGAAGCCCTCCTCATCCCTCCCGGAAGCCCCCCTCATGCTTCCCGGAAGCCCCCCTCATCCCTCCCGGAAGCCCTCCTCATCCCTCCCGGAAGCCCCCCTCATGCTTCCCGGAAGCCCCCCTCATCCCTCCCGGAAGCCCTCCTCATCCCTCCCGGAAGCCGTCCTCATCCCTCCCGGAAGCCCCCCTCATCCCTCCCGGAAGCCCTCCTCATCCCTCCCGGAAGCCCTCATCCTTCCTGGAAGCCCTCCTCATGCTTCCCGGATGCCCTCCACATCCCTCCCGGAAGCCCTCCACATCCCTCCCGGAAGCCGTCCTCATCCCTCCCGGAAGCCCCCCTCATGCTTCCCGGAAGCCCCCCCTCATCCCTCCCGGAAGCCCTCCTCATCCCTCCCGGAAGCCCCCCACATCCCTCCCGGAAGCCCTCCTCATCCCTCCCGGAAGCCCTCCTCATGCCTCCCGGAAGCCTCCCCCCACATCCCTCCCGGAAGCCCTCCTCATGCTTCCCGGAAGCCCTCCTCATCCCTCCCGGAAGTCCTCATCCCTCCCGGAAGCCCTCCTCATGCTTCCCGGATGCCCTCCACATCCCTCCCGGAAGCCCTCCACATCCCTCCCGGAAGCCGTCCTCATCCCTCCCGGAAGCCCTCCTCATCCCTCCCGGAAGCCCTCCTCATGCCTCCCGGAAGCCCCCCACATCCCTCCCAGAAGCCCTCCTCATCCCTCCCGGAAGCCCCCCCCCCACATCCCTCCCGGAAGCCCTCCTCATGCTTCCCGGAACCCCTCCTCATCCCTCCCGGAAGCCCCCCTCATGCCTCCCGGAAGCCCCCCACATCCCTCCCGGAAGCCCTCCTCATCCCTCCCGGAAGCCCCCCACATCCCTCCCAGAAGCCCTGCTCATCCCTCCCGGAAGCCCCCCCCCCCACATCCCTCCCGGAAGCCCTCCTCATGCTTCCCGGAAGCCCTCCTCATCCCTCCCGGAAGCCCTCCTCATCCCTCCCGGAAGCCGTCCTCATGCCTCCCGGAAGCCCTCCTCATCGCTCCCAGAAGCCCTCCTCATACCTCCCGGAAACCACGACCCCCACTTCCAACACCGTCCGTGCATTTGGCCCTTTTGGCACTTTATAGACGTGGAATCAGGCAGGACATGCTCCTTTCTGTCTCGTTCCTTTTACTCGACATTGTGTTTGTGTGATTCATCCACGTATGCTGTGTGGTCAGATTGTTCCTTCTCACCACAGTGGGGTGCTCCATTGTCTGCCTTCACCCCAGTTTATGTGTCCATTCTACTGCTGATAAACATTGTAGGATTTCCCTGGGGGGTGGATTTGGCTATTACAAATAGTGCTGCTATGAACATTCTAGTATATGCCTTTTCACTGCAACCCATCCTAAAATATACATCATTGAAAACTACTGCTTTAAGCCTCAAATCTTGGGAAAGCCAATGTGCCCCACCTCTCCAATTTACCCTTTCATTCTTTAAACATGGTCCTTCCACTGTCTACAGAGCACCATGTAAAGGGTATTGGCCATCTCCTTGAAGTCTGGGTAATAAAAAGATGAAAAAAAAATTTTTTAAAGACTATTGGCCAAAGGAGTCAGACTTTCTAGGACTAAAGTTCCCTCCTTGCTGTGTGTCTTTGGACAAACACTCAACCTCTCTGTGCAGCAGTTTTCTTACCTGTAACATGGGAATAGTACTCTAACATCATTTGGCTGAGGTTTAAACAAGGGAGCAGCATCTGCACAAGGTGAGCACTCATCAGTGTTCATAGCAATGATTCCTGCTGAAGGTATCCTGTCTTTCTCAACACCCCTGCAGTACCCTGCTCTGGGCGTCCCCTGCCCGGATATCTGTGAGCAACGTCCTCAAAGAAAAGGAGATCGCAACTGAGGACAAGCAACTCTACCATCTCCAGCTAGAGCTGAGCTCCACCAGCAAGCCCTCCCTTCCACGCCAGATCACTCCTGTCCCTCAGCCTCTCCAGGCATCAGAGATGTGTGGCGGCCGCAGCTACTGTCCTTTCATGCATGAGGCACTGGATGTCACTCAAAATGGGACCTCGACCACAGTGACTTTGCTGGGGTCATTATTAATGGTGTGCCAGCGGCCTGATGACAACCTGCTGGGGCACCCAAAGTACCCAAAAATCACTGCCTGGGAAAAAAATGTTTTTAAATGTTGATGCAAAAGAAGAGTGAACTGGAGTATTTTGTTTTTTTAGATGACAAAGACGGAAGAAATCCCCTCAAAGCATACAGTGCAAGAGGCCCAGGAGCAGGAGATTCCAGCCTTGCAAGACCGGTTGCCATGGTAACCGTGTTTCACAGCAGGAGTTCGTTTTCATATGACAGTGACCTGCACAGAGAAGGGAAGGACGGAAGGACGTCTCCTAAAGAAACTTAGTTGAAGGCTTTCCCATTTGGGGTGAGGGGAGTTAGTTTTGTTTACAAAAAAAGGGCATTTTAAGGTGCCTTAAGAGGCAGAAATGATCCCAGGGCCCTTGCAAGGTTCTCTCTATTCACAACTCTTACTTAAGGCAAGACAGAAAAACACGGCCTGTTTCCAAGGCCTCCTGGGGCTGATGTCATAGCCTCCCTGGATCACTGGTCCCATCATTAACCATCTGTTTGTTACAAAGTCCTTTCCTGGAGTCCAGCAGAGTCCCAAGCAAGCAAGCAACCAACCGAGCCACCAGGAAGTCCTGCACACCTGGGCCAGGGGCTGAGAAGACATGGAAATGTAACACACACTCCCTGGACTGAAAAACACGCCTTCCTGGACAAACGGCAAATCCTAGCATCTAAAAACAGCCTTAGGAGTCAGACAGACTTGAGTTCCAGCCTCCACCTTGGCCACCTATATGCTGTGTGATTTAGGAAGGTCTCTGGCCCTCTCTGTGTCCTTATGAACAGAATGAGGACAATAATCCTAATGCTTACCCCTCTGGATGTTTCTAAGATAAAGGAAAACGAGGGACTACCTGGAATGATTAGCACACTGCCCGGCACGGGACAACCCACTCAACAAACAGCTGCAATGATTAAGAGCTGGAAAAGTATATCTCGCACTCATGATACAGTGGGAGGCTAATAGCAGAGAACAAAATACTAAACCGTGTGGGACAACCTGCAACGGATCCATCAACAAGCCCAGCAGGAACGCAGATGGACTGGACGAACGGAACCGTCCAGGAGGGAGGTGGTGCTTGAACTGAACTCTCAATTGTATTAAGGATGCTGGGGAGGTGTTCTTGGAGGCCTGAGGGTGGGAATGCCTCCATTGAGTGCTTGCAGGGCGCCCAGTCCTGGAGAGCCAGAGAGAAGGGGAACAAGCTTCCCGCTGCCATCAGGGACAGAAGGGGATGTGAGATCAGCCGACAGCTGCAGCTGGTGGCCTGAGGGCATCGTGGAGTGGGAAGGGTCCCCGGTGCAGCCAGGGAGGTGAGCAAAGCCAGGGAAGGGTCCCCGGTGCAGCCAGGGAGGTGAGCAAAGCTTTTCCAAGGAAACTGCACCTGAGCCAAGTCCCAGAGGGTAGGGGCGAGAGGGCCCAACCAGGGGCAGGAGGCAAGAAGCTTCAGGATTGGAAATTAGTTTGAGAGAATGAGGCCACGTGACTGAGGGCCTTCAAATGCAGGCAGGGGAGCTGAGCTTTGCCCAGGAGGACATATGGAGCCTCTGAAGATATCTCGGTGGGGCGGGGGTCGGTGACAGGGTGAAACGAACCATCATTCTAGAAGGGACATGCCGGATGGATTGCCACATGGGGCTGGAGGGGGTTCCCACAGGAGAGAGAACAGCTAAGAGGCCTCTGTACTCTGGACTGAGATGTTCAAGGCCTGTAGGAATCCATCACAAAGGAGAGGGGAGAGGCAGACACATTTTGGAGACCAGTGTAAATGACAGAGAATGAGGGAAACCCACCAGCGGGAAGTGAGTGAGGGCAGCTGCCTGGGAGGAGACCAGTCGGGTGCGCTGAGTTTGCGGTGACACCGTGGCACCCAGAGAGCAAGACAGGGTGGGCTGGAAGTCAGAGGGGGCATTCCCAGAGGACTCCTGGAGCCAGCCCCGTGAGAAGTACAACACAGGGCCTGGGAAAACAGTCCCAGGAAAGAGGGAAAAAGGCTCAGCAAAGGAGAAGGAACCAGGAGAGAGGCATGCCCAGAAGTGACGGCGGGGAGGCTGCAAGCTGGACACCAGCGCGCAGGGGTCCGCTTCCCGGGGAGAGCGACCGAGGCACCACAGAAGAGGCGTGTTTGGAAACAAAACGACTTTTGGGTTTAGAAGTTTCAGCAAAGTGGCCACCAGCAGCCAGGCTGCAGAGGATGGAGGGGGGCGGCTGGCGGGGAGGGGGCGGCTGGAGGGGAGGGGGCAGCAGGTGCCGAGCTCTTGTGGGAAAACGTGACAGAGAAAAGAGGAAACAAGCTGACGGCTCCGATGCCGGGTTTTGTGTTTTTCAGGAGATGGGAGATGGGAGGCCGAGGGGATGTCAGAGACGCGGAGTGGGGGTGGGGCTGGGGGCTGGAGGCGGCCCGGGGCGCGATCTCCCCCGGTGTCGGGCGGGGCGGGGCGGGGACGGGACTGCAGTCCTGGCTCTACCCACGCGCCCACCAGGGTCTGCAGGGGCGTCCCCAGGGCTCCCCCTGCCCTCAGGCTGCCGGGAGGGTCAAAGGTGCGCGCTGCACAGATGTAGGGTGACAGTGACCATTCCCCGGAATCTCCGTGGCTCTGATCTCCCCGGGGACGGGTCTCCACCTGCAGCAAGACGCCTCCCCGCAGGACGACCCCCAAGGTGTTACGGACCCAGGCGACCCTGGGGTCGCTCTGCCCTCTGAGCAGCCGGGCAGGAGGCACAAGCCCCAGCGCCCCCGGCAGAGGCCTCCGTGCGGCGCAGGAAAGGAAAGGCGGCTCCACGGCGGGCCCAGAGCCGTCGTCCCGAGCAGTGAGGCGCCTGGGACGGATGGAAGCGCTTCCCCGACGCCTCCGCCCGACTCCGGGAAGCGGCTTTGGGAGGGCTGGAAGCCAACCCCGCGGGACTCAGGCTGGAAGGGATGGGCGGGGCGAGTGGAGGCGTCGTCGGTCTCGGCTGTGAGAAGGGCCCCCCAAATCCTGCACGCACGACCCCCCTTCCGACCACCCAGCCGCGGGCGAAAGCCCAAGTGTGCAGGGCCCGGGGCCCCCACGGGGGCCCCCAGTCTCGTGGGGCGTCGGGTCCACGCCGCAGGCGAGGCCAGGTGCAGAGGGGCGGCAGCCTGGACCCCCGGGCCCCTCCCCGCACGTGCGCGCCGGGGCGGGCGCTGGGAAACGCCGCGCTGTGGACTCGCTCCCCGGAACTCACCCGGCGCCGCCCTCCCCCACCCCCCGCCGCGTCCCCGCCCCCCCCCACCCGCACCCCGAGCTGGGGGCACCACAGGGTCCCCGAGGGTCCCCGAGGTCGGGGCGGAGCGCAGGCCGTTCGGAGCGGGGGGCTCCGGGCCCGGGCGCTGCTCGGGGGAGTCGGGTGCAGCCCAGGCTCCGGCCGCCGGCGGGAGGAAACCCAGCTCCAGGCCCTGCCCGCGCCCCGCCGGCCCCGGAACCGCCCCCGCCCGGGGCGCCAAGAGCTCCCAGGTCCCCGCCGCCTCCCTGTGCGCCCCGCCGGCCCCGCCGCTGAGCCGCGCGCACCCCCCGCCCTCGGACTGGGCCCCGGACCCGGGGCGGCCCCGCTTCCCCCCCGGACTCACCCGGGGTTCGGCCCCGCAGCCCGCGCGCTCCCTCGCTGCCCTCTGGCGGCAAAACCGTGAAACCGGCGCCCGCCCCGCCCCGCCCCGCTGGGACCTGTGGCCGCAGAGCCCGGGCCGGAGGGCACCTGCTGGGCGGCCTCTGGATGGTGACCTCGCCGCGGGGCGGGTCCCCACGGTCTCGCTGGACGGCAGGGGCGCGGCTCACTGCAGCCTCCGCCTCCTGGGCTCCAGCGACCCTTTCACCCCAGCCTCCCCGGCAGTCGGGACCGCAGGCACCGCTCCCACGCCCGGCCAATTTTTGTATGTTTTGTAGAGACGAGGTCCCACTGTGTTACCCAGGCTGGTCTCGAACTCCAAGCCTCAGTTTCTTTATGTGCAAAACAGAGACAACAATAGTCCTGTTGTGATGACTGAATGAGGTCGTGACCCCAGGTCTCGCTCACTGTAGGCCCCTCAGCTGGAGAGCATTCTTAATGTTAATATTCCCTCCTCACCTCCTAACCCTAAAGCCTCAAGGGTGCAGGAATTCCGCTGGCCTTAGCCCACCCCCCAGCCCCCAGGAGCTGCTCGCACCGCCGCTTGCACAGACGGGGGTAGACCACTCCGTGTCTCTGGGGTGACTCGACCTTCCTTGGGATGGCCAACCGCCTGAGAAAGACGCATAGGTGACCCGAGGCTGCCTCCCTGAAGCCTTCCTCTTGGCTATAGCTGTACCCCTGTGGAGCCCACACGAACCCAATCGCCCAACCTTCTATTCACCATTACAGCTTTCAGTAAACACTCGTTGCACCTCTGCTCTGTGCCAGCTCTTCCTAGACGGGATTCTCACATGTTTCACTTAACCCCTGTTTTCCCAGGTCTTACCACATAAGGTCCGAATGACAGTAACAAAACCATCTTTTTCTGTCTGTGCCCTGAGGATAGCTAACAGGTGAACACAGGTGCAGCCTCCTGGCTAACTCCAGAAACCACTCCCTTCTCTCCTGCCCCAGCGTTTGTCCCCTTGGCCCACAAGGCAGCACACTCAGGACCGTTCCACTCCCCTTCCCCCGACCCAGTGTGAGGCGGCCTCATCCTCTCATGGTGGGTGGGGTGGGGGGGCTCCTGCATGCTCACTGCAGAGTGGGGGCTGATGCCACACAGGTGTTCACACGTGTGCACCCCACCCTAACCAGCCACCGGGCTGCACAGCCCCTCACTCCACACGTGTGCACCCCACCCTAGACCAGCCACCGGGCTGCACAGCCCCTCACTCCACACGTGTGCACCCCACCCTAGACCAGGCACCGGGCTGCACAGCCCCTCACTCCACACGTGTGCACCCCACCCTAGACCAGGCACCGGGCTGCACAGCCCCACACTCCACACGTGTGCACCCCACCCTAACCAGCCACCGGGCTGCACAGCCCCTCACTCCACACGTGTGCACCCCACCCTAACCAGCCACCGGGCTGCACAGCCCCGCACTCCACACGTGTGCACCCCACCCTAACCAGCCACCCAGCTGCACAGCCCCTCACTCCAATGTCATGGGGAGGGGCTGGTGATACAGCCCTTTTACTAACTCCTCTTCCCATAATCTAGGCAAGAGCCTCATTCCCCATCTACTCAATGACATTCAAAGTGGTCTCCTGTCTTTGCTTTTTGCTCCTTGGTCCAAGCAAGCTCATTTCTTCTCTTTCTTCAAATAAATTACTGGGATTACTAATAGAGAGACAGACAGACAGACAGACAGAGACAGAGAGAGAGAGAGATCTTGCTAGCCATAAATCCAACGATTCTCTAAATAAGGCGAACTCTTCATTTACTCATCAACAGATAATTGTTATGCACAGTTGCAGGAGCTGGGGATACAGAGGTGAAGAGAATCCCCTGCCTCCAAGGAGCTTGCTGTCTAGAGAGGGGAGCAGACTTCAAGTGAATAAATGAACACTACTGGGCACTTCCTATTGTCTAGGAATTTCTACTAGGAGCGCTGTCTTAGTCTGTTCTCTGTTTCTATAACATAATGCCACCGACCGAGTAAATTATAAAGAAAAAAAGTATATTCAGTTCATGGTTCTGGAGCCTGGGAAGTCCAAGAGCATGGCACCAGCATGTGGCGAGGGCAGGTCATCTCGGTGGAAGTTAGAAGGCAAAAGCCAGTGTGCGCACAGCGGAGGGAGAGTCGCCAGGGTCAGCTCACTTTAGAACAACGTGCTCTCATGAGACCTAACTCACTTCTGCCAGAACAAAAATTTTTTTTTTTTTGAGACAGAGTCTCGCTCTTTCACCCAGGCTGGAGTGCAGTGGCACGATCTCAGCTCACTGCAAGCTCCGCCTTCCAGGTTCACGCCATTCTCCTGCCTCAGCCTCCCACGTAGCTGGGACTACAGGTGCCCACGACCATGCCCCGCTAATTTTTTGTATTCTTAGTAGAGATGGGATTTCACCATTTACAGGATGGTCTCGATCTCCTGACCTCGTGATCCGCCCGCCTCGGCCTCCCAAAGTGCTGGGATTACAGCCGTGAGCCACCGCACCCAGCCCTGCCAGAACACTATTAACCCATTCAAGAGGGCTCAGCCCTCATGACCTAGTCACCTCGTATCAGGCTCTTATTGAACATGTCCACCCCCTACCACTGTTACACTGGGATTCAGTTGCCAGCACATAAGCCTTTGGGATACATTCAGACATATTCACTGAGGTGGATAAGTGATAAGGACCTTCACTGCTCAACAGGAGCTGCCAGATACCCTTCAAGACTTTCCAAGAGGGAACCAAGCTGGTCCTTTGCCCCTCACTCCCTCCCCACTGATACCAGAGGACCGTATTCCTTGGGAGGGGAGCTACCCAGGCAACAGGTCAACAGGTTATGAGAAGACAAGTTTGTCTTTAACCCCACCTGTGTTTTCCCTTCACCCACACCCCCCCCGACCCCAACCAGAAGATCCTTCCAAGAAATCAAGGCTGCCTGCAGGATGGCCCTCTCCCTCCCCAGAAGCCTGGCTGGCACTCCACAGCTCCAGGAGCAGAGTGTGGGGTCCTGGAGTTCGGGCGCAGTAACCCTGAGCAGGGTTACTCAGCCACAGCACGATTGACTTTTTCAGCCAGGTATTCCTCTGGGGGGTGAGGGGGCTGTCCTGTGTATGGTACAATGTGTAGCAGCATCCCTGGCCTCTACCCCCTAAATCATAGTGGCACACATCCAACCCCCAGCTGTGACAATAAAAAATGTCTTCGGGTGTTGCCAAATGTCCCCCGGGGTCACCCTCCCACCCCCACCCCACCCCTTAACCCAAACCATGTGTCCAGAGCCTGTTACCTATTTCTAGCCTGGAGAATTAGGGGTGAGGAAACTGCTCTGTGCTTGCAGTAGTGCGGCAAAACTGCGTAGAGATGGAGCAGGCCTCCTTCCCACTGTTGACCAGACGGAGCGGGCCCGCCTTCCCACCCTCTGACCAGGCGGAGCGGCCCCGCTTCCCACTCTTGACCAGGCGGAGCGGCCCCCCTTCCCACTCTTGACCAGGCGGAGCAGGCCTCCTTCCCACTGTCTGACCAGGAGAGTTTCCCAAAAGCCAAGTAGAAACTGGAAGAAAGCGGGGGTCAAGCAGCCTTGAAGAAGCCCCGGGGGCAAGGGAACCCGTCACCAGAGGCTGAGATGCGCCTCTGGAGAGGATCAAGAGGCCGGCCTGAGGATGTATTACAAACGGGCTCCCGGGAAATCCTCCGATGCCCAGATCTGGAGAGGATCAAAGCAGAAGGATGACGGAGAAAGAGAAGAGAGCCCTCCTTCCACCTGCCAGCACCTGCACTGCAGGGAAGAGGGGGGGGTGGAATTGGAAAAAAGAATGAAAGTTGGATTTAGGTCGGGCACAGTGGCTCACGCCTGTGATCCCAGCACTTTGGGAAGCCAAAGCAGGAAGCTCAAAGCTCACTTGAGCCCAAGGAATTTGAGACCAGCCTGGGCCACATGGCGAGCGCCGTGTCTCTACTAAAAATAAAAAAATTAGCAGGGTGTGGTGGTGCGTGCCTGTACTCCCAGCTACGGAGGCCGGGCAGGTTGAGGGGCTGAGGTAGGAGGATCGCTTGAACCTGGCGGGTGGAGTTGCAGTGAGCCTTGATTGCGACACTGCACTCCATCCTGGGGGACACAGCAGACCTTGTCTCAGAAAAAAAAAGGAAAGAAACTCGGATTTATAGATCTAGTAGGTTGAATGATGGCCTGAAAAATATATGTCCACATCCTAATTCCCAGAACCTGTGACTGTGACTTTATTTGGTAAAAGGGTCTTTGCAGACATAATTAAATTGAGGCTGTCATGATGAGATCATCCTGGACATTTCGTAGGCCCTAAATCCAGTGACAAGCATCATTATAAGATGTACGTAGAGACTAGAAGGCGGCCCTAGGAAGATGGAGGCAGAGATTGGAGTGATGCAGCCACACGCCCAGGGACACCTGGGGCCCCCAGAAACGGGAGGAAGGAAGGACGGATTCTCCCCTGCAGCCTCCAGAGGGAGGACCACCCTGCTGACACCTTGATTTCAGCCTTCCGGCCGCCGGACTGTGAAATAATACATCCATTTTGTTTTAAGTCAGCCAGTTTGTGGTAATTTACTAGGGCAGCCCCAGGAAACAAATGCAACAGGAGACTAGAATTTGCTCGAGTGGAGACAGTCTTCAGCAAAGTCTACTTTTCATTCTGACACTTTTTTTTGAGACAGAGTCTCGCTCTGTTGCCCAGGCCGAAGTGCAGTGACGCGATCTCGGCTCACTGCAACCTCTGCCTCCCGGGTTCAAGTCATTCTCCTGTCTCAGCCTCCTGAGTAGCTGGGACTACAGGCGCATGACACCACGTCCGGCTAGTTTTTTGTATTTTTAGTAGAGATGGGGTTTCACCATGTTAGCCAGGATGGTCTTGATCTCCTGACCTCGTGATCTGCCCGCCTCGGCCTCCCAAAGTGATGGGATTACAGGCGTGAGCCCCCACACCCGGCTGTTTTGTGTGTTTTAAACTTTACATAAATGGTATCATACTGTATGTTTTGTTTTATTTTGTTTTCTTTTGTTTTTAAGACAGGGTCTCACTCTGTTACCCAGGCTGGAGTGCAGTGGTGTGATCTCAGCTCACTGCAGCCTTGACCTCCTGGGCTCAAGCGATCCTCCCACCTCAGCCTCCTGATTAGCTGAGACTACAAGCACGTACCACTACACCCGGCTGGTCTCAAACTCCTGAGCTCAAGTGACCTGCCTGCCTCGGCCTCACAAACTGTTGGGATTACAGGCGTGAGCCACCATGCCCAGTCATGCTGCATGCTTTTAAAAATTGAGGCAAAATTCATATAACATACAATTAACCATTCTAACATGTATCATTCAGAGCATTCGCAATGTTATCCAACCACCACCTCTCTCTAGTTTCAAAACGTTTTTCAATCACCCCATAAGAATTTTGATGGTTAATTTTGAGTGTAAGTTTGACTGGATAAGGGATGCCCAGGTGGCTAGTTAGGCATTATTTGGGGGTGTGTCTGAGAGGGTGTTTCTGGAAAGGATTTGCGTTTGAATCGTGGACTGAGTGAAGGTCACCCTCACCAATGTGAGTGGGCACATCATCCAGTCAGGTAGGGACACAGCAAAAAGGAGGGGAAGGATGAACTTGCTCTCTGGTCTTGAGCTGGGGCATCCACCCTCTCCTGTCCTCGAACAGTGAAACTCCTGGTTCTCTGGCTTTTGGACTGAATTCTGTCACTGGCTCTCTGGTTCTCCAGCTGGCAGGTGGCAGATTGTGATACTTCTCAGCCCTCGTAATCGTGTAAGCCAATTCCCGTAATAAACCTCCACATACAAGGAAGATAATATAAGAACATTCTTTTTCTCTGAGCACTGTCGACGGGGGTGGGGCAAGAATATTGTATGTCCATGAAATAGTCACTCCCAATGTCGCCCTCCCTGCAACTCCTGCAACCGTTAACCCGCCTTCTGTCTCCATGGATTTGCCCATTTGTATTCTTCCAAAACTTACAGGATTCTGGCTGCACATTCGAGGGATTTGTACGGGTGGTCACGTTAGACCATTGTTTGTTTTTCATTGCCATATAATATTCCATCATGAAACTCAACCACTTTTTTTTTTTTTTTCTTGAGAGAGGGTCTCATTCTGTCACCAGGCTGCAGTGCAGTGGTGCATCCTGGCTCACTGCAGCCTAGAAATCCCAGGCTTAAGTGATCCTCCGGCCTCAGCTTCCTGAGTAGCTGGGACTGTGGGTGCACCACCACACCTGGCTAATTTTTTAAAAAAATTAGGCCAGGCATGGTGGCTCAGGCCTGTAATCCCAGCACTTCGGGAGGCCGAGGTGGGCAGATCATGAGGTCAGGAGTTCGAGACCAACCTGATCAACATGGTGAAACCCGTCTCTACCAAAAATACCAAAATTAGCAACATGATGGCACGCACCTGTAATCCCTGCTACTGAGGAGGCTGAGGCAGGAGAATCACTTGAACCCAGGAGGAGGAGGTCACAGTGAGCTGGGCAACAGAATGAGACTCTCTCTCAAAGAAAAAAAAAAAAAATTTGGAGAGATAGGGTCTTCCTATGTTGCCCAGGCTGGTCTTGAACTCTTGGCCTTGAGTGATCCTCCTGCCTCAGCCTCCCAAAGTGCTGGGATTACAAGTGTAAGCCACCACACCAGAACTCAACCCCATTTTTTTTAGACAGGTTCTCGCTCTGTCACCCAGGCTGGAGTACAACGGCACAACCTTGGCTCACTGCAACCTCCGCCTCCTGGGTTCAAGCAATTCTCATGCCTCAACCTCCCAAGAAGCTGTGACTACAGGCGGGAGCCACCATACCAGTCTAATTTTTGTATTTTTAGTAGAGACAGCATATCACTATGTTGGCCAGGCTGGTCTCAAACTCCCGACCTCAGATGATCCGCCCGCCTCAGCCTCTCAAGGTGCTGGGATTACAGGCATGAGCTGCCATGTCCAGCTCTCAACCACTTTTTAAATTTTTTCCTTCTGTTGATGAATTTGTGCAACTTAAAAAAAATTTTCAGGCCAGGCATAGTGGCTTACACCTATAATCCCAGCACTTTGGGAGGCCGAGGCAGGTGGATCACCTGAGGTCAGGAGTTTGAGAGCAGCCTGGCCAATATGGTGAAACCCCGTCTCTACTAAAGATGGAAAAATTAGTCAGGCATGATGTCGCACATCTGTAATCCCAGCTACTCGGGAGGCTGAGCCAGGAGAATTGTTTGAACCCAGGAGGCAGAGGTTGCAGTGAGCCGAGATCGCACCACTGCACTCCAGCCTGGGCGACACAGCAAGATTCTGTCTCAAAAAAAGAAAAAATATTCAAAATGAGTATTATATCCATGTGGCAACAAAATGAAGGATCACAAAAGAAGATAGAGTGAAAACGAAGTGTCTTTTCCTCTCCTTCCAAAGAGACAGTCATTTTACCCATTTCTTATGTATCCTTTTAGCAGTATTCCAGGCACATACATATATGCATAGATGGCACCTTTTTTACACACGTGTTTATGTGGTAAGTATTGATTGAAAGCCTGCTGTATGCCAGACACTACTTTAGGTGATGGGGGTACAGCCGGGAACAAAACAAAGTTTCCAGCTTTCCTGTTTCTAATAGAAAGAGAAAGTGCTACACAGATAAACAGATGTACATGTCAAGCTGCACTCGTGCTGTGGAGGGGAGTAAGCACAGCAAAGGGACACAGGGGAAAGGTCAGGAAAGGCTTCTCTGATAAGGTAACACGTGAACAAAGCAAGGACAGCCAGGGCAAGAGTGTTCCAGGTGCCGGAGAAACAGCAAGGAGGTCCTGGGGTTGGGGTGGAGCACGGGGGCAGCAGATGTTAGCAAACCGCACACACCGCGCCTCGCTCCCTCTCCATGAACAGTCTTGGCCTTTGTTCCACATCAGCCTAAAATGAGCTGCCTCGTTCTTTTTTAGAGGCAGCCAAGTAGTCCACCATATGGAGGTAGTACAATTTGCTTAACTAGTTGTAGAGTTTTTCTTTTCCTTTTTTTTTTTAAGGTATGAAGTGAAAATCAGGAAGCGGTTGGAGTGAGTTCTCAAAGGAGGAAGAGGGAAGCACAGACCTGCTCTTCACAGTTGCAAAGCCTGGGGCAAGAGCAGGCACAGCGGCCCACGCACCTTATGTCTAAATATTAAAAGTTATGACAAACTGTTAAGTGAAATATGCACTGTTCTCCTACCTTGACGAATATACTTTCGTAACAACCTGGAAGGTCAGATTTAAATTTCGAATTTCAGATTCTTCAGGGTTCTGCAGCCTGCCCCAGGCCTGCACCTCCTCTTCCTACTTCCAGCTCCAGCACTGAGAAGGTCCCGTGAGCACTTGGGTGTGGACGCCTGAGCCTGCCCTGTGCAGTTTCCATCCATGCTGCCCTTGGGCCTAAGGGTGCTCCGGAGGAAAGACCCAGGAAAGAGGCCCACATAGGCCCTACAAGCAGGCTGAGGCTATTTGGGCAAGAAACTCCGAGGTCCCAGGTACTCGGATTGTGGGCTAGAAGGAAGGAGGGGGGATAGGCTCTACGTGGGTGAGACCCCTCGATTCCACGTGATTCCCATCTCTCAGGGAGAGATACAGCTGGAGTGGAGACAGCAGGATCCGATGGAGCACGGGACAGAGGGAAGGGACTCCTCTTGCCCACATCGAAGGCTGGTGCTGCAGAAGTGTGGACACTGCTTGTCTGCCTTGGGGAAGACACTCACAGTGTGGGCAGGACAGAGTGGAAAGCTGGAATCAGCAGCCGGGCCAGCTGGAGGGACCCAGGCTGAGCACACAGCAGGAAAGCCATGAACCGTAAGCCCTGCCCAGGGCTTGCCCACATCAGTGCCAACCAAAGGGGAAAACCTGGTCCTTCTTGGGAAAGAAACTTCCACTCTGGAGAATGTTCGAAGAGCTCATAACAATAATAGTCTCTGAAACCACAAAGACAAAGTATAAACAAGGAAGCCGACACCAACAGTGAAGATGCCACCATCTCGCTGGTTGGTCAACAAATATCATTGTAAAGTCTACCACTCTCTTGCAGGATTCGTGGAACTGGGAACATGCGTTCTGGCCACATTTGGTGACTGACTAGCATTGTGAGGTTGAGCAATTCACTTACATCATTGTAAAGTCTACCGCTCTCTTGCAGGATATGTGGAACTAGGAACATGGGTTCCAACCCATTTGGTGACTGACTAGCATTGTGAGGTTGAGCGATTCACTTACATCTCTGTGTATCAGTTTCCTCATCTATCCAACAGGAGTATACTTGCCCAATCTCTTTCAGAGTTACGAGAATCGGTTCCATTCCCCTTGCTTTGCTCATTTAGCCACTCACAAAACGTCAGCTCTGTGCCAAGAGCTGGGCAGGTCTGCAAGAGCAGAAATAAAGACATCGTACTTTCTCATACTTTCTGACCTCAAGGAACTTGGTCCGACTGAGGAGACAAACAGCTGTGCTCCAAGAGCTGCCCATTCCTTGTGCTGTTGCAGGCTTAGAAGCATTTTCCAGATAAATAAATCGAAGTTAAGATAGAATGAGGCCGGGCACAGTGGCTCTCGCCTGTAATCCCAGCACTTTTGGGAAGCCAAGGCAGGCAGATCACTTGAGGCCAGGAGTTCAAGACCAGCCTGGCCAACATGGTGAAATCCTGTCTCTACTGAAAATACAAAAATTAGCTGGGCGTGGTGGCGCACGCCTGTAGTCCCAGCTACTCAGGAGGCTGAAGCAGGAGAATCGCTTGAACCTGGGAGGAAGAGGTTACAGTGAGCCAAGACTGCGCCACTGCACTCCAGCCTGGGCAACAGAGTGAGACTCTGCCTCAAAAAAAAAAGAAAACAAAAATGTTAAGATAGAGAGTTGTTCTTTTAAAGTAAAGGGGGAAGCATTTTATTTCTGTGCTAAATTATGGTTTTCAAAAAGGTCAAATCATGCCTTTGATGTAAAATTTTATTCAACACTTTGACGAAGAAACCAATAAGATGTTAAAACTGGTTCAAATAATTTGAAGGAAAGAAATGTATATATTATACACAAACATATATAGTATCTATAAACATATATATACCATATAAACATCTATTGTATATATAAACATATTATTTTTATACATTTTATATAGGTATATAATATGTATTATGTGTGTCTTTATATATAAACATAAACAGGCCAGGCGCGGTGGCTCAAGCCTGTAATCCCAGCACTTTGGGAGGCCGAGACGGGAGGATCACGAGGTCAGGAGATCGAGACCATCCTGGCTAACATGATGAAACCCCGTGTCCACTAAAAATACAAAAAAAAATTAGCTGGGCGTGGTGGTGGGCACCTGTAGTCCCAGCTACTCGGGAGGCTGAGGCAGGAGAATGGCGTGAACCCGGGAGGCGGAGCTTGCAGTGAGCCGAGATCGCGCCACTGCACTCCAGCCTGGGCAAAAGAGCGAGACTCCGTCTCAAAAAAAAAAAAAAAAAAAAACATAAACATACACCCACCCACACAAACACAGTTGACCTTTGACCAACATGGAGGTTAGGGCTGCCAATCCCCGTGCCATCAAAAATCCGTGTGTAACTTCTGACTCCCCCAAAACATAAGTAACAATAGCCTACTATTAACCAGAAGCCTTACCAATGGCATAAACAGTCGATGAACATGTTTTTTGTATATGTATCATATACAGTAAAGTAAATAAAATGTTATTAAGAAAATCAGAGAGAAAACACATTGACAGTGCTGTACTGACACTGATTACTGTAAGTTTATATCATCTGTCTACAAGATGAATGGTCTGTCTGAAACGGCAGGCCGCCGCAGCTGCAGACCTCAATCTATGGTACATATCAGGCAATCCAGCTTTTTCTTGTAATGTCAGGACTTTCCTTTGCTTTTTGGGAGCACTTCCAGCATCATCCGTAGCAGTTCATCTGGGTCCTACGGTGTTGCTATAAGGCTTAGGGCATTGCACTAAACACAGTGAAAGACGCTGGAGAACTCCAATCGATCACTTTTTCCTGCTGTTCACAACTTACTGGAGAGGTAAGCTGCTCATGTGGAGATAATTAGCGGGTTTGTTCATGTTTGTTTTTGTTTTTGTTTTGAGACAGAGTCTTGCTCCATCGCCCAGGCTGGAGTGCAGTGGCACAGTCATGGCTCGCTGCAGCCTCCAACTCCTGGGCTCAACTGATCCTCTCCTTCAGCCTCCTGAGTAGCTGGGACTACAGGCAGGCGCCACCATGCCTGGGTAATTTTTTAATTTTTCTTTTGTAGAAAAAATTTCTGGTTTCAAACTCCCAACCTCAAGTGATCCTCCTTCCTCGGGCTCCTAAAGCACTGGGATTATAGGCATGAGCCACCGCCTAGATAATTTACTTTGTCACATGACATTTTAAGGGGATATTTGCAACACTTGGGCTGATTAAAATAACAACAGGAGATGGCTACAAAATTATCACAGTAGGGCAGTATGTGTTACAGTGAAATTTATACAGTTACAATTTAACACTGCATCTTTAAATTATCACAGTAGTGCAATATTACGGTGAACTTTACACAGTTACAATTTAACACTGCGTCTTTAAATTATCACGGTAATGCGGTATGTGTTACAGTGAACTTTATACAGTTACGATTTAACACTGCATCTTTAAATTATCACAGCAATGCGGTATGTGTTACAGTGAACTTTATACAGTTACGATTTAACACTGCGTCTTTTAATTATCACGGTAATGCGGTATGTGTTACAGTGAACTTTATACAGATACGATTTAACACTGCATCTTTAAATTATCACGGTAATGCGGTATGTGTTACAGTGAACTTTATACAGTTACGATTTAACACTGCATCTTTAAATTATCACGGTAATGCGGTATGTGTTACAATTAACTTTATACAGTTACGATTTAACACTGCATCTTTAAGTTATCACAGTAATGTGGTATGTGTTACAGTGAAGTTTATACAGTTATGATTTAACACTGCATCTTTAAATTACCACAGTAATGCGGTATGTGTTACAATTAACTTTATACAGTTACGATTTAACACTGCATCTTTAAATTATCACAGTAATGTGGTATGTGTTACAGTGAAGTTTATACAGTTATGATTTAACACTGCATCTTTAAATTATCACAGTAATGTGGTATGTGTTACAGTGAAGTTTATACAGTTACGATTTAACACTGCATCTTTAAATTATCACAGTAATGCGGTATGTGTTACAGTTAACTTTATACAGTTACGATTTAACACTGCGTCTTTAAATTATCACGGTAATGCGGTATGTGTTACAATTAACTTTACACAGTTACGATTTAACACTGCATCTTTAAGTTATCACGGTAATGCGGTATGTGTTACAATTAACTTTATACAGTTATGATTTAACACTGCATCTTTAAATTATCACAGTAGTGCAGCACGTGTTACAGTTATCTTTTTTTTTTTGTTTTTGAGATGGAGTTTTGTTCTTGTTGCCCAGGCTGGAGTGCAATGGCGCAACCTCAGCTCACTGCAACCTCTGCCTCCCAGGTTCAAGCAATTCTCCTGCCTCAGCCTTCCGAGTAGCTGGGATTACAGGTGCCTGCCAACATGCCCAGCCAATTTTTTTTGTATTTTTAGTAGAGAGCAGGTTTCACCAAATTGGCCAGGCTGGTCTGGAACTCCTGACCTCAGGTGATCCACCTGCCTTGGCCCCCCAAAGTGCTGGGATTACAAGCATGAGCCACCACGCCCGGCTACAGTGAACTTTATACAGTTACAATTTAACACTGCATCTTTAAATTATCACAGTAGTCCAAGATGTGTTGCAGTGAACTTTATACAGTTATATTTAATACTGCATCTTTAAATTTGTTTATGTTTCTCTTGACTGCAGGCATGGTCTGTAAATGTGTGGGTAAGTTTTGATACATTTTAACTTTTTAAAGTAGATGTATGTATATTTTATGGTGGTAAATGATTTTAAAAAACTAGTATTGGGCTAGGTGCAGTGGTTCATGCCTATAATCCTAGTGCTTTGGGAGGCCAAGGCAGGAGGATTGCTTCAGGCCTGGTGTTCAAGACCAGCCTGAGAAACATAGCAAGACTCTGTCTCTTGTAGAGAAAATTTTCTAGAATTTTCCTTGATAGGAACTATTCTTGACAGCTCCTGGTGCCCATGTCGTGGGGGCACCGTTCATTCTTTTGCTGATATTTGACATCCCACATATGACTATATCGCTGAGTTCTTTCCCTTTGTTTTTTCTTTTTTTGAGATGGAGTCTCAACATAGTGAGACCCTGTCTCTACAAAAATAAAATAAAATAAAAGATGTAAAAATTAGCCAGGTGTGGTGGCCTGCAACTGTAGTCCCAGCTACCTGGGAGGCTGAAGCAGGAGGACAGCTTGACCTTAGGAGTTGGAGGCTGCAGTGAGTGATTGTTTCATTGCACTCTAGCCTGGGCAACAGAGCAAGACCCTATCTCTTAAAATAATACACTAGTGCTACATATATTTTATGCGTTCATGACCTACCTTTTTCTTCCTTTTTTCAATATTTCCAGGCTAAGCAGTTCATCTTCTAGTTTTTTCAAATTGTTACAAATCTCCAAAAAATTTTCCAATATATGTATTGAAAAAAATCCACATGTAAGTGAACCCACACAGTTCAAACCCATGTTGTTCAAGGCCAAATATATTAGAGAAATGCTGAAATGAAGTTGCTAATAAATGCAAAGTGGTTAACACCCATAATATCCTACAGTACAATAAAATGTAATGTTTTGAGATTATCTTTTCTCCAGGATAGAATTGTATCTTTGCCAGACAAAATTGTATCTTTGCCAGACAAAATTCATTTGTATTCTTGTAGGTAAGAATCACTTGCATTACTGTAAGTTTTTTTACAGCTTAGCTTTTATCCCTATGGAGTTGTAAAATAGCCTAGTTATTAGAAAGGTAAGTCAAGGTGCACCCCATAGAATCATAATCCCCAAGAGTTAGGAGGGCAACACCTGGCATTCCACAGAAAGGACACCCAGCATTCTCTTTTGCCCATTTCCAAATCTTGAACGACATTGCCCCTGATTGTATTGGTAACCTTCTTTTTTTTTTTTTTTTTTTTTTTTTTTGAGACAGGGTCTCACTCTGTCACCCAGGCTGGAGTACAGTGGTGCAATCATTGCACTCCACTACTTGGGAGGCTGAGGCAGGAGAATCACTTGAACCCGGGAGGCGGAGGCTGCAGTGAGCCGACATGGCGCCACTCCACTCCAGCCTGGGCCTCAACGAAAAAAAGATCCAGGTTTTTTTCTTTCTTTATCTTTTCCTTAAACAAGCATGAACCCGCTATCCAAACCAAGAAGTCAAACATAACCAACCGTCTCATCGTCCTGTGCACCCCTCCCTTCCCCGACTCCCCAACCCCCACCAAGAGGTCACCACTGTCCCTGCCCTACAGTTTACACTTTTTGTTGCACTGTAAAATATCGTTGTATCATAAATACATTTGTGTTAAACAGACGTCCTTTTTTTTTCTTTTTTAGAGATGGAGTCTCGCACTGTCACCCAGCCTGGAGTGCAGTGGCACAGTCTCCGCTCACTGCAACCTCCCCCTCCTGGGTTCAAGCAATTCTCCTGCCTCAGCCTCCCGAGCAGCTGATTATAGGCATACGCTGCCATGCCCGGCTAAGTTTTTGTATTTTAGTAGAAATGGGGTTTCACCATGTTGCCCAGGCTGGCCTCGAACTCCTGAGCTCAGGCAATCCATCTGCCTCGACCTCCCAAAGTGCTAGGATTACAGGCGTGAGCCACCGTGCCTGGCCCCTTTTTTTAATTTAATATTGTTTCCAAGGTTCATCCGTGTTGTGGGGGCATAGATCATCCTTTTGCTGATGTATAATATTCCATGTGTGACTATATCACTGAGTGGTTCCAGCTTTTTGCTACTATGAGCTATGCTGATATGAACATTTTTGATGGCTCCTGGTGCCCATATGCAAGAATTTCACTTGGATGTGTCTTTTTTTTTCTTTCTTAAACATTCAGTTGGTGCCAAGCTTGGGTATATCTTAAGGACTGGGGTTCTCAGAGATCCTGCCGTCCTCAGGACACTGGCTCTGCCTTCCAATTAGCTCCTGTCACTGTAGCGAGATGTTTGCCACAGACCCAGGCAACACATCCATGGCCGACCGTGCCCAGCAGCAGAAGAGGAGCGTGTCTCCTCCTCCCTTTGATGAAGGAGCAAACCTTTCCCTGGAGCCTCAGGTAGATGATCTTGAACTCTAATTGGCCAGGAGTGGGTAACAGGTTATTTCTCAAACATATTACTGACAAAGAGAATGGGATGACCATAATGACTCCAGCCAATCAGGATTCTCTTGTGAAGATACGGGGCGGCTGTAGGTGGGCACAGGGACCAGAACAAGATCAGAGCTCTGCAGGAAGGGGGCAAAGGTTGGGTGGGCAATTGCAGCTGACAATGTCTTCTCCACCTCCATCCCCCGCCATTCCCCTCTACCTGCAGAAAGCTTCTTCCAGACACCTGTGACTCTGCCTGAGGCTTTTCTCCACTTGCATTTTTGGCCCACGCAGAAGAAGCCAGAAGTGCTACAGAGTTAGTGCCTCTAGAAGCCACGTTTTCTGAGAGGTGGTGGATAATACCCAGCTTCTGAGAGGTGGTGGATAATACCCAGCTTCTGAGAGGTGATACCCAGCTTCTGAGGGGCGGTGGGTGACACCCAGCTTCTGAGAGGCGGTGGGTGACACCCCGCTTCTGAGAGGTGGTGGGTGACACCCCGCTTCTGAGAGGTGGTGGGTGATACCCAGCTTCTGAGAGGTGGTGGTCAGCTTCTGAGAGGTGGTGGGTGATACCCAGCTTCTGAGAGGTGGTGGGTGATACCCAGCTGCTGAGAGGTGGTGGTCAGCTTCTGAGAGGTGGTGGGTGACACCCAGCTTCTGAGAAGCTTCGTTGCCCCTCACTTGGGATCACTGGCATGTTTTGGCACCGCCTCCCAGAGTCCTCCCAGAGGACTGAGCTGTGGTTGAGCACAGAGGTAGCTGGCAGGATAATGAAAACTTTATTAACTGTCCTGCCTTCCCTGTCTCACTTGCCCACTCCTCCACCCGTGTTTCCTAAGACCCTCTCGCAGATAAACTCTGCACTCAATTCCTAGTCTTAGAGTTTGCATTTGGGGGAACTCAAACAAACACAACAACCAACACAGCAGCCAACAGTCCCTGTGCCAGGGATGTGTGAGCAAGATGGGAGACTGGGTTGGATGCTGGATAGATGGGCTGTTGGCTAAGGATAGAAAATTAGAAGTCATCAGCATGTAGGACATGATTGCAGCTGTGAATGTAGATGAGAATACCTTAATATACAGACAGAGCTTCAAGAACAGAGTCCTTAGGCCAAGCTCGGAAAACACCAACATTCAGAGGCTTCTCGACATTCCCTTTAGAAGGGAAGGTTTATGTGCAAAGGAGGCGGAATGGCCTAGAATCACGAGGATGGTGTCCCAAAAGCCGGGCAGATACAACATTTCAAGAAGGAAAGAGTGGTCAGGAGTGTCAAATGTTGCTGGCAGGTCAGGGACAACAAGGACAAAGGTTGTCCACTGGATTCGATGACTCGGAAGGACACTGGTGACGCTCGATGGCTCGGAAGGACACTGGTGACGCTCGATGACTCGGAAGGACACTGGTGACGCTCGATGGCTCGGAAGGACACTGGTGACGCTCGATGGCTCGGAAGGACACTGGTGACGCTCGATGGCTCGGAAGGACACTGGTGACGCTCGATGGCTCGGAAGGACAGTGGTGACGCTCGATGGCTCGGAAGGACACTGGTGACGCTCGATGGCTCGGAAGGACACTGGTGACGCTCGATGGCTCGGAAGGACAGTGGTGACGCTCGATGGCTCGGAAGGACAGTGGTGACGCTCGATGGCTCGGAAGGACAGTGGTGACGCTCGATGGCTCGGAAGGACAGTGGTGACGCTCGATGGCTCGGAAGGACACTGGTGACGCTCGATGGCTCGGAAGGACACTGGTGACGCTCGATGGCTCGGAAGGACACTGGTGACGCTCGATGGCTCGGAAGGACAGTGGTGACGCTCGATGGCTCGGAAGGACAGTGGTGACGCTCGATGGCTCGGAAGGACAGTGGTGACGCTCGATGGCTCGGAAGGACACTGGTGACGCTCGATGGCTCGGAAGGACAGTGGTGACGCTCGATGGCTCGGAAGGACAGTGGTGACGCTCGATGGCTCGGAAGGACAGTGGTGACGCTCGATGGCTCGGAAGGACACTGGTGACGCTCGATGGCTCGGAAGGACAGTGGTGACGCTCGATGGCTCGGAAGGACAGTGGTGACGCTCGATGGCTCGGAAGGACAGTGGTGACGCTCGATGGCTCGGAAGGACACTGGTGACGCTCGATGGCTCGGAAGGACAGTGGTGACGCTCGATGGCTCGGAAGGACAGTGGTGACGCTCGATGGCTCGGAAGGACAGTGGTGACGCTCGATGGCTCGGAAGGACACTGGTGACGCTCGATGGCTCGGAAGGACAGTGGTGACGCTCGATGGCTCGGAAGGACAGTGGTGACGCTCGATGGCTCGGAAGGACAGTGGTGACGCTCGATGGCTCGGAAGGACAGTGGTGACGCTCGATGGCTCGGAAGGACAGTGGTGACGCTCGATGGCTCGGAAGGACAGTGGTGACGCTCGATGGCTCGGAAGGACAGTGGTGACGCTCGATGGCTCGGAAGGACACTGGTGACGCTCGATGGCTCGGAAGGACAGTGGTGACGCTCGATGGCTCGGAAGGACAGTGGTGACGCTCGATGGCTCGGAAGGACAGTGGTGACGCTCGATGGCTCGGAAGGACACTGGTGACGCTCGATGGCTCGGAAGGACACTGGTGACGCTCGATGGCTCGGAAGGACACTGGTGACGCTCGATGGCTCGGAAGGACAGTGGTGACGCTCGATGGCTCGGAAGGACAGTGGTGACGCTCGATGGCTCGGAAGGACACTGGTGACGCTCGATGGCTCGGAAGGACAGTGGTGACGCTCGATGGCTCGGAAGGACAGTGGTGACGCTCGATGGCTCGGAAGGACAGTGGTGACGCTCGATGGCTCGGAAGGACAGTGGTGACGCTCGATGACTCGGAAGGACACTGGTGACGCTCGATGGCTCGGAAGGACACTGGTGACGCTCGATGGCTCGGAAGGACAGTGGTGACGCTCGATGACTTGGAAGGACAGTGGTGACGTTCGATGGCTTGGAAGGACAGTGGTGACGTTCGATGGCTTGGAAGGACAGTGGTGACGTTGTAAAGCGGCTTTGATGGCACGATGGTGCCAGAACTACAACTGTAGTGGGCTGAGAAGGGATGGGTCAGTGAGGAGACAGAGACTGCAAAGGAGACCAAATGGAATGATGCACAATTAAAATACCTGTAAACATTTAGATTAGCTTTCCTTGCATGGCCTTTTTATGATTATTTATGAAACGCATTCATAAAATGCATCCCTTTGCTTGAGGTGACTTTTCTCTTTCATAGCTCACTGGCTGGCTCAACATAACCTCGACACAACCTTCACTAAAATCAGAAGAGAAATGATCAAACTGTCTCCTGCCAAGTAAGCATTGAGGCAAGAAGGACCAGCTGAGAGGGAAGACGGGCAGGAGGGCAGCCAGCCTTTCCAAGCACCTGTCTGCAAGTACCAGGGTGAGCATGAAAGGGCATCTGAAATGCAAACCCCAGAGAGACCGATGGTAGCTGATCATTTCCACGAAGGCCTTCTGCCATTTGTATTTCACTTAGCTTCTAAGGACAAAAGCAGACAGGCAAGAGGCAGATACCGCACACTCTGCATGCCGAGCTGTGCTGGACACATCAGGGAGCTTGCCAGGGGATGGGAAGACCGAGGACACACGTCCTACTAACAGAAGGGCCCCTTATAGAGCAATGCGTCCGCACACACCAATGACTGTCATTTACTCAGTACTGACAGATTTATAGATTTGATGCAATCCCCATCAAAATCTCAAAGGGGATTTTAAGAAGTAAACCAGAAGATTTGAAAATGTATATGGAAAAGCAACGGCTCTAGAATCGTCCAAACAATCTTCAAAAATAACACAGTTGGAAGACTTACACTACGTGACATCAAGATTTACCATGGGCCGGGCACGGCGGCTCACGCCTGTAACCCCAGCATTTTGGAAGGCAAAGGCGGGAGGACAACGTGAGCTCAGGAGTTTGAGACCAGCCTGGGGAACATACTGATAATCCATCTCTATTTTTTATTTGTATTTTTTTAAAAAAAAGATTTACCATAAAGATACAAGATGATAAGTCAAGATGATGTGGTATTGATCAAAGGATAGACAGAACAACAGAACAAAACAGAGTCCAGAAATAGATTGACAAACACATAGTTAACTCATTTTCTACAAAAATACCAAGTCAGGCTGGGTATGGTGGCTCATGCCTGTAATCCCAATGCTTTGGGAGGCCAAGGTAGGAGGATCACTTGAGCCCAGAGATTTGAGACCCGCTTGGGCAAAACAGTGAGACCCTGTCTCAAAAAAAGAAAAGAAAAGAAAAGAAAATCAGAAATGACCAGCTGTGGTGACTCACGCCTGTAATCCCAGCACTTTGGGAGGCTGAGGCAGGTGGATCACTTGAGGTCAGGAGTTTGAGACCAGCCTGGCCAAAATGGTGAAGCCCCATCTCTACTAAAAATACAAAAAAAAAAAAAATTAGCCAGGTATGGTGGCACGCACCTGTAGTGCCAGCTACTCAGGAGGCTGAGGCAGAAGAACCACTTGAACCTGGGAAGTGGAGGTTGCAGTGAGCCGAGATCGTACCACTGCACTCCAGCCTGGGCCACAGAGTGAAACTCCATCCCAAAAAAATTTTTAAAAATCGTAATGAAAAGTACCAAGTCAAGTCAATGGGAAAAGGAATGTCTTTTCAATGGAAGTTCCTGGAAAAACTGGAAATCGATTTGGGAAAAAATAAATGTGACTCCTATATGTGACTTTATTCACAAAATCAATTTGAGGTAGGCCAGGTGCGGTGGCTCACACCTATAATCCCAGCACTCTGGGAGGCCGAGGCGGGCGGATCACTTGAGGTCAGGAGTTCAAGCCCAGCCTGGCCAACGTGGTAAAACCCTGCCTCTACTAAAAATACAAAATTAGCCTGGCATGTTTGTGCATGCCTGTAATCCCAGCTACTTGGGGGCTGAGGCAGGAGAATTGCTTAAATCCGGGAGGCAGAGGTTGCAGTGAGCTGAGATCACGCCACTGCACTCCAGCCTGGGCGACAAGAGCGAAACTCCATCTCAAAAAATAATAATAAATTTGAAGTAGATCATGAACCTAACCTAAAACCAGAACTATAAAGCTTCTAGAAGATAGCATAGCACACTGTCTTTGCAATATGGGGCAGGCAAAGCATCCTTGGACACAATACAAAAAGAAAAAACTGATCAAATGAATTGAAAATTGAAAAAAATTATTTATCAGAATTTCAAATTTCTGCTTATCCAAAGACACCACATTCAGAAAATGGATAAGTTACAGACCTGGAAAAAAAATCTTTGCAGTCATAAAGCTGACAAAACACTTATATTCAAGTTGTGCAAAGACATCAACAACAAACAACAAATCAACAATAAACAACCACATTACAGAATGGCCAAAAGACTTCAAAAGACACTTAAAGATATACAAATGACAGGCCGGGCGCAGTGGCTCACACCTGTAAACTCAGCACTTTGGGAGGCCGAGGCGGGTGGATCACCTGAGGTCAGGAATTTGAGAGCAGCCTGGCCAATATGGTGAAACCCCGTCTCTACTAAAAATACAAAAATTAGCCAGGTGTGGTGGTGCATGCCTGTAATCCCAACTACTCAGGAGGCTGAGGGAGGAGAATTGCTTGAACCCAGAAGGCAGAGGCTGCATCGAGTGGAGATTGTGCCACTGCATGGAAGCCCAGACCACACAGCAAGACTCCATCTCAAAAAAAAAAAATATATATATATATATACATATATATATATATATACACAAATGACCAGAAAGCACTTTCAAGAGTTCTTGACTTCGTTAATCACCAAGGGAATTCAATTCAAAACCACAGAGAAATACAACTTCTTACCCACTAGAGTGGCTAAAATCAAAGGCTGATTTTTCAATGGGTAATGGGGACTACTAGAGGGAGGAGGGGCTGGAAGATGTGGACTGAGAAACTACTGTTGGGTGTTGTACTCACCACCTGGGTGACGGGATCACCCATACCCCAAACCTCAATGTACTCATGTACATTGTACTCATGAGTCATGTACCATCACTCAGTGTACTCATGTAACAAACTTGCACATGTACCCCCCGAATCTAAAATAAAAGTTGAAATTAAATAAAAGATAAAATACCATTCCATATCTTTTTAAAAAGACACATTTGGTTATCTACTGTTGCATAACACATCACTCCAAACCTTCGTAACTTAAATAACTACAACCATTGTATTTTCTCTCACAGCTTCTTTGGGTCAGGAATTCAGGAAAGGCTTGTCTGCTTGGGGCTGGCCTGGGGTCTCTCCTGCTGCTGCTGCAGGACGATAGCTGGATGGGAAAAGTGGGGGCTGGAGGAGCTGAGGCATCTTTCTCTCCATACATCTTAGAGGCTCTCCACGTGGACTAGGTGGGGATTTATCAAGGTGTGACAGCCTTGGGGTCCTCAGACTTCTCAATGGGAGGCTCAGGACTCTACAGCAAGCACGTCATGGGCTAAGAAGATGGATGGATGCTGCATTCCCTTTAGGACCTAGCCTGAGAAGTCACACAGAGGCACTTCTGCCACATACTATTGGTTACAAGCGAGTCAACAAACCCCTTAAATTGAAGGAGAGCGGAATGAGACTCTGCGTCTTGCCATGGGAATGGCAAGATTCTTGAAGAGTATGTGGGACAAGAGATATTACTGCAGCCAGTTTTATTTTATCATTTTATTTTATTTTGAGATGGAGTCTTGCTCTGTCACCCAGGCTGGAGCACAGCAGTTTTATTTTATTTTATCATTTTATTTTATTTTGAGATGGAGCCTTGCCCTGTCACCCAGGCTGGAGTGCAGTGATGCAATTTCAGCTCACTGCAACCTCTACCTCCTGGGTTCAAGTGATTCTCCTGCCTCAGCCTCTCAAATAGCTGGGATTACATGCACCCACCACCATGCCCAGCTAATTTTTGTATTTTTAGTAGAGACGGGGTTTCTCCATGTTGGCCAGGCTGGTCTCAAACTCCTGACCTCAAGTGATCCACCCACCTCGGCCTCCCAAAGTGCTGGGATTACAGGCGTGAGCCACCATGCCCAGCCTCTGCAGCCATTTTCAGATAATACAATCTGTGGAGGGTAAACCTAGAAAGAAAAGCAGGTGATGCATCATACCAGGCCTTGTAAGCCACACTTTGTTATTTTTTTTTTTAAGACACAGAGGCCGGGCGTGGTGGCTCAAGCCTGTAGTCCCAGCACTTTGGGAGGCCGAGGTAGGCGGATCACAAGGTCAGGTGTTCGAGACCAGCCTGGCCAATATGGTGACACCCCGTCTCTACTAAAAATACAAAAAATAAAAAATAAAAAATCAGCCAGGCGTGGTGGCACGCACCTGTAGTCCTAGCTACTAGGGAGGCTGAGGCAGAAGAATCACTTGAACCTGAGAGGCAGAGGTTGCAGTGAGTCACGTTCACGCCACTGCATTCCAGCCTGGGCAACAGAGGAAGGCTCTGTCTCCCAAAAAAAAAAAAAGAGAGAGAAAGTCTTGCTTTGTTACCCAGGCTGGACAGCAGTGGTGCGATCTCGGCTCACTGCAGGCTCAAGTTCCTCCACAAGTGCCCCTCAGCGCAGCTGGTTAATTTTTTGTAGAGATGGGGTCTCACTACGTTGCCCAGAATGGGCTCAAGCGATCCACCCACCTTGACCTCCCAAAGTGTTGGGACTACGGGTGTCAGCCCTGCACAGAGCCCCACAAGAGTTTAGATCTTGATGTAAATTGTGATGAGGAAGCAATGGAGGACTTTTTGGCTTTTTATGTTTTGTTTTTCATCACTGGAGACTTTTAGCAAGAGAGTGAACGGTTTGGTTGTTTTTAAAAGTTTGTTCTAGCAGCTGTGCGGAAAAAGAGTTCGTGGGGAAGGTTTGAAAGCAGAGACCATTCAGGAGAGGACCCAGAAGTCCCAGTGCCAGACACGGCAGTCGGCCCCAGCCTGGGTAAGGGACAAGGGAGAGGGTAGGGGACACGGAAGCCCACCAGGTTTCCAGCCAGTCCAGCGGTTTTGTTCACTAAAGTGGAAAACCATGAAGAAGTAAGTTTGTTTTGGACACATTGGCTTTGAGAGTCCAGGGTAGATGTACGAGGCTGAAACTCAGGCAATAAAAATTGAGGGGAGAATACACAGCATTTAAAAAGGTACAGGAGGCCGAGCACGGAGGCTCATGCCTGTGATCCCAGCGATCTAGGAGGCCGAGGCGGGAAGATCGATGGAGCCCAGGAGTTCGAGACCAGCCTGAAACCAAAAATCAAAACTCTTAGCCAGGCGTGGGGATGGGAGGCCAAGGCAGGAGGATCGAGGCACGGGACTGGACGAGATGAGTGTCAGCCCAGGGATTTAAAATCTCTCTGCCCACCCTCCCCTTCCTGCGGTCAACTGTCCAGATTCCAACAGACAAAAGCAAGCATGGGCGAACCACCGTGCGCCGCGGTCCCCGACAGAAGCACGCATGCGCACACCTCTGTGTGCGGAGGTTTCCGACAGACGCACGCATGCGCACACTTCTATGCGCGGAGGTCTCCGCAGACAGAAGCACGCATGCGCACATCGCTGTGCCGGTATCGCCAACAGATGGAAGCACGCATGCGCGCACCGCTGCGTACCTAGCACTCCGACAGATGTACGCATGCGCACAACGCTCTGTTCTCGAGATCCCCGACAGAAGCACACATGCGCACACCGCTGTGTGCCAAGGTCGCCAAAAGACGGAAGCACGCATGCGCACACCGCGGTCCGTGGGGCACCGGGCGGAAGCGTCCTGACTGCGCAGGCGCAGCAGGGGTGGTCGCCATGGAGACGCGTGGCCCTGGCCTGGCGGTCCGCGCTGAGAGTCGCCGATTAGTCGGCATCGGGCCTCGGGCGCCCCCGGGGCGGGTTGGGTTGCAGCCCAGCGGGCGGCTGGACCGCCGCGGTGGGGCGGGGACAATGGGGTACAAGGACAACGACGGCGAGGAGGAGGAGCGGGAGGGCGGCGCCGCGGGCCCGCGGGGGTCTAGACTGCCCCCCATCACAGGCGGCGCCTCCGAGCTGGCCAAACGGAAGGTGAAGAAGAAAAAAAGGAAGAAGAAGACCAAGGGGTCTGGCAAGGGGGACGGTAAGAGGAGCAGCTAGCCCGGCTGCGTCAGCTCCGGTTCCCTGGAGACTCTTTGGGGACCCACCCCCCATTTACCCTTCAGACCGGAAACAGAAGCTCAGTGGTCCCGGACCGAGGTCCTCCTGCTCCCCACACATGCCCGTCAGCAGCACGTTGATGCCCCAGCCCCACCCGTGGAGACCATCCACCAACTCTGCGGTCCCTTAGCCCCACACAGAGACCCCTACAGATATCCACCATTCCTAAGAGCCTTCCAGCCCCACACAAAGACACCCTCTCAACTTCCTAATCCCTCAGCCAAAACTGGCAGTCTTAAACGTCTGCGCCTTCCCCACAGAGGCCCTCCTCACAAGACACTTTCCCCACCCCAAACACATTGATGCCACATGAAAGGCCCTCACTCTCATGCACAGAGAAGGGCAGACTCCTGCCTCCCCTCCTCCCACCCTCTTGCGTTAAGGCTGCCTGCCTGTGGATGCGCGGTAGACACCCACACCCACAGACGTGTGTATTAAAGGTCCTCGCTGCATGGGCTCCCCCTCGCACCCACCAAGGGGCAGCCTTGGACTGCACAAACCCCATGACACCAGTCACTGTGACATCCTCCTATAATCCCTGACACCCTCAACCACTCCCCGCTTCATATCAGTGTAACACCCACAGTGAAACTAAAGGGCGGGGGACACCCTCAACCACTCCCCCCACCTTCTATCAATGTAACACCAACAGTGAAACTAAAGGGCGGGACGCAGTGGCTCACACCTGTAATCCGAGCACTTTGGGAGGCCGAGGTGGGAGGATCACTTGAACCCAGGACTTCCAGGCTGCAGTGAGCTATGATCGCACCATTGCACTCCAGCCTGGGCAACAAGCAAGACCCTGTCTCTCAAAAAAACAAACAAGAAAACTAAAGCACAGATCCCCCTCATGCACACACATTCCTAGTCTACACACACAGACTGTTAATACGTTATCCATTCGCGTGTGTAGTCATATGCAGGCAGGAATTGCAGTCTCTCTCAGGGACACCTTCACAAACACACATACCCTACCTGCCATAAACCCCAGTCCCTACATCTCACCAAGCTCTTCTTGTAGAACCCCTACATTTCTTGACAAGGGGACTGAGCACCCACTTTGAGGAGAGAGAGCACAGCAGTGACAGAGAATGCAGGTGCCCGTGAGTGCTGTGAGGCCACTGTCGCCCGTGTGGTCCACCTCAGTGGCTTTGGCTGTCTGGGAGAGGGCTCTAAGCTCCAGTTCTGGGGCCTGGCCCTCTGTGGCAGAGCTGGCACCAAGGCAAGCAGGAGGCAGAGTGGCAGCCTCGCCCATATGGACCGTGCAGTGTGGGAAGGGAGCAATGGGAAGATGATAAGTACTTCTCAGGCGTAATACAAAGGCAAGAAAATTCTGCAGTTCAGGTCAAGAAGCCCTGTGTGGCTGGGCACATGGCTCACGCCTGTAATCCCAGCACTTTGGGAATTCAAGACCAGCCTGGCCAACATGGTGAAACCCCGTCTCTACTGAAAATACAAAAATTAGCTGGGCATGGTGGCAGGCACCTAGAATTGCTTGAACCTGAGAGGCGGAGGTTGCAGTGAGCCAAGATTGTGCCACTGTGCTCCAGCCTGGGTGGCAGAGTGAGACTCAGTCTCAAAAAAAAAAAAAGCCCTGTGTGTATCTGCAAAAAGAAATTTGGCAGTTCATTGTCCTTTTGGCGTAGCTTTTCACTGTAGAAATTACAGTGACATGTGCCTCATACCATCAGCAGGGGGCACCAGATAGTTTCCAGGGCGTAGCAAGGGAGGGAAATGTCAAAAGATGATTTCTTTCTCTCTCCCCTAAAATAAAAGGACGAGCTGATGAAAGAACCACAATTTGTAGCATTTTATGTGCATGTTAAATAATTCTGAAGTGCTATTGATGTTAAAAAAAAAAATCAGTACAAGCCATACAGCAGAAGTATTTCTGGCTTGGCATAATACTGCTTTCAGTCAAATTTAGGAAGCTTTTCTGTTGTTTTCCGTTCCTTCCATCATAAAGTGTCTAGACTAGGGTAGAGTCACAGACTCCCAGAACTGGGAATGGCCGTGGTGAGCACATGGCGAGGATGGATGAGGGCAGCACGGCCCAGTGGAAAGAATGGGGCATTGGGGGCCCAGCCTGCACTCAGGTCCCAGCTCTGCCACTCGCTCATGACATTGGCAAGTTCCTGAACCTTTTGGAGCTTCGGTTTCCTCACCCGAAGAATAGGGCCGATCGCCTTTACCCAGACGGCCTGGCTCAGACTGTGTGCTCAATGAATGGTTCCTCCTGCCCTGAAATGATTTCAGCAAAATCACACAGGCAGGTGGGCACGAGGCTGGTGGGCTTGGCAGCCTGAGCCCTGGGTACGGAGGGGCCCCCATCCTCCTCTTCCATCTTGGGTGATTTTGGCACCATCCCCAGCAGGCCAAGGTCAGACATTGCCACAAACACTAACCTGCTCATCTACTCAGCAGATAAACATCAGAGTCAGAGCCTGAAGAGCCAGCCGCTTTCTTCCTCCTTTCATGACATCTTAAGTCCTTGCAAAGAGCGTGGCCCGAAACCAGAGCACAGACAGAGCAAAGTGGAAAAGAAGCACCTCCCTTCTGACTCCTCCACCGTCAGCCTCCCCGACTTTGCCGAAATAGAGAACCTTGCGAATCGGATCAACGAAAGTCTGCGTTGGGATGGAATTCTTGCTGACCCGGAGGCAGAGAAGGAAAGGATTCGCATCTATAAACTGAATCGGAGAAAACGGTACCGGTGCTTGGCCCTCAAGGGCTTCCACCCCGACCCCGAGGCCCTCAAGGGCTTCCACCCCGACCCCGACGCCCTCAAGGGCTTCCACCCCGACCCCGAGGCCCTCAAGGGCTTCCACCCCGACCCCGAGGCCCTCAAGGGCATCCACCCCGACCCCGAGGCTCTCAAGGGCTTCCACCCCGACCCCGAGGCCCTCAAGGGCTTCCACCCCGACCCTGAGGCCCTCAAGGGTTTCCACACTGACCCCGAGGCCCTCAAGGGTTTCCACATTGACCCCGAGGCCCTCAAGGGCTTCCACCCCGACCCCAAGGCCCTCAAGGGCTTCCACCCCGACCCCAAGGCCCTCAAGGGTTTCCACACTGACCCCGAGGCCCTCAAGGGCTTCCACCCCGACCCCAAGGCCCTCAAGGGCTTCCACCCCGACCCCGAGGCCCTCAAGGGCTTCCACCCCGACCCCGAGGCCCTCAAGGGCTTCCACCCCGACCCCGAGGCCCTCAAGGGCTTCCACACTGACCCCAATGCCGAGGAGGCCCCTGAGAACTTACCCTACCTCTCGGACAAAGATGGCAGCTCCAGCCACAGGCAGCCCACGTCGAAAGCCGAGTGCCCCAATCTCTGTTTTGAAGGAAACCTTACCCCAAAGCTTCTACACTCTGACTTAGCTCCTACTCTGCTGGAGTGAAAATCTACCCACGACGCTCACAAACTTATAATTCCTCCTCACCACAAGTTTATGTGTTAAAAACCATCATCATAAAAGGAAATGAGACCCGTATCTGAAGGAAACAGATGTTCGGTACACGGACGACGCCGACTCTCCCATCACCAAGCTGCCCTCGGTTGCCCAGGAGAGCCACAGTGCCTTGAGAACATAAGCAATTTAGTGAACAGAGTTCTTTTCAGAATTTCCTTTTTCTTAAGTAAGCATCTCTGTTACTTAATTTCTCACCACAGCTAGATGTCTATAATCTGCCCCAAAAAGAAAAGAAAGCGTGTAGATGATTTACCTCTTAAGTCTCAATCTCATGGTGAAACTCCTCACACGGTACCTGCTTCTGTTGGCCGGAGGACGATGCCCTGAACCTCTTGGAGCCTTTTTCTGTTTTAATTAAATGCATGGCCTGCCTTTATATGGCCTCAAATAAGTGGGTTCCAGAACTCCATCCCTGGGAAGTTACCATGGGAAGTCCCAAGAGGAATACTGCTTCTTTCATAAACATGGTCCTCTCCTAATCCTCCATTATAAAAAGCCTCGCTACGCCGCGTCTCCTAAATACACATTCCTCCCCTCCACAAGTAGCCAGTGAGTGAGGGCCACGTGCTGTCGTCGTTTGTGCTCTCCCAGAAGCAGCCCCTGAGACGAGGGTTCAAATGCAAGTAGATTATCTGGGAGGTGAAGAAAGGATGAGTAGAGGGTGATACAGAGAAGGGAAGACGGCCAATCCTGGGACTTTTCTTTTTAGACAGGATCCCGCTCTGTTGCCCAGGCTGGAGTACCAGTGGCGAAATCATAGCTCTCACTGCACTCCACCTCGTGGGCTCAGATGATCCTCCCGCCTCAGCCCCCTAAGTAGCAGGGACTATAGGTGAGTGCCACCACGCCTGGCTAATTTTAAAAATTTTTTGTAGAGATTGGAGGGGGTGTGGTCTCACTATGTTGCCCAGGCTGGTCTCGAACTCCTGGCCTCAAGCAGTCCTCCCACCTTGGCCTTCCACAACATTACAGGCATATGAGCCACTGTGTCTGGCCCCCCTTCCAGGGACTATTAGGCCAGCTTTCATACTGGGCTTAATTCCACAGGGAAACCCACTTCTAGAATTATCCCACCTGGGGGTGAGGAAGCTGGGGTATTTATACTCCCCAAAGGCATTGGCCGAGGGCTGGTCGTGTGTGTGTGTGTGTGTGTGTGTGTGTGTGTGTGTGTGTCCTGGCATTTCTAGCTGAAAGGTTGTGTGTGTGTGTGTGTGTGTGTGTGTGTGTGTCCTGGCATTTCTAGCTGAAAGGTGTGTGTGTGTGTGTGTGTGTGTGTGTGTGTGTGTGTGTCTCTCCTGGCATTTCTAGCTGAAAGGTCCAAAGGAAAAGGGTGGTCTCTGGGGAAGCCTCAGCTACCTCAGCAACACCGTGGGTCTGAGAGGGACAGCATGGAGGGCTAAGATGAGATTCCTGACCTTCAAGAGGTTACAGTGTTCTGGGGTAGACAAAAAATGAATGTACACTGTACACAGGAGAGGTTAAAGCCGATACAGACATCACAGAATGCTCATTTGAAAGTTAAGTGAAAATGGCTGGGCGCAGTGGCTCAGGCCTATTATCCCAACACTGGGAGGCTGGGGCAGGTGGATCATCTGAGGTCGGGCATTCGAGACCAGCCTGGCTAATATGGTGAAACCCTGTCTCTGGTAAAAGTACAGAATTAACCAGGTATGGTTGCAGGTGCCTGTAGTCCCAGCTCCTCAGGAGGCCGAGGCAGGAGAATCGCTTGAACCCAGGAGGCGGAGGTGGCAGAGCCAAGATGGTGCCACTGCACTCCACCCTGGGCAACAGAGCAAGACTCTGTCCGAAAAAAGAAAAAAAAGTTAAGTGGGCATCGTGGTCCCTGCTAGCTCTGGGCTGGCAGAGCAGCCCTCTTCTGACCCTTCCTTAAAAGGCCAGTTACAGTTTCCACATTTGCCCTTGCACCCTGTCAAAATATACTGAAGAGACATTTGGAAGAGTCCTCTCCTGCCATGGAGAATGGTTAGCAGACAGGAACGGGCCTCCCTGTGCTGAGGCCAGGCCTGTCCTCTGCTCTCCATGGAGAGGAAGGGGCAGGAAATACTCCAGTGCCAGCCACAGGACCTCGCTTGTGCCCCAGGGTATTAAAGGCAGAGACAGAACAGAGGGCAGCCACGGGGCTGGCATCTCATGTGCCCTCCGGGTCTACCACAGTGGCTGGAGCCTGGGGCACAGAGGAGTGTGAGGGTGCACTGGGCTGAGACGGTCGCTTAGCAGCGCCTTCCATGGCGGTGAGAGGCAGGGGTGGGGGCTGTGGTCATCTCCCAGCTGCGAGGTAACATTCTGGGAAAGTAGCTAAGATGGCGAGCTTTGACACCAGAGCTGAATTCACCTCTTTCCCACCACATGCTAGCACTGTGGCCCCTGGCAGATTGCTTCACCTCTCCGAGCCTTAGTTACCTCATCTGAAAACCGGACTGCAAATTCCTGCCTTAGTGCTGTGAGAATCGAGTGCAATGAGGCATCTAGCATGGCGCCTGGCACCCAGGAAACAAACTACGAGTTTTCATCAGTGGTATTTCAGGTTGACGTGGCCACATGTCTGCTAGAGAGACTGTCCCGAGTAATGGTGTAGACCTTACCTCCTGGAAGGGTCAGCTTCACAAACGAAATCTGGCTTCAGTGGCTGGCCAAGAGAGAGAATTCACACACAGAGAACAAATGACGGGGGCCCCGGAGCAGGAGAGAGTGGAGCAGGAAGGAAGCCGGGGCCCTGAAGGCCGGTGCTTAACGTATAATGATAGAAAGCAGGTGGGGTGAAGGTTCCTGGAACACACAAGTAGCTTCAACTCAGAACACCTTGGGTTCGAAGTTTGCATATCTTCCTCACACCCAGGCTGTAGCAGTGAGGACTCCTTCAGGGCAAGAAACAAACCACAGTGAAAACCACCTTACAGACCAAGGGGAATGGTTGACTTTTTTTTTCTTTTTCTTTTTTTTTTTTTTTTGAGATGGAGTTTCACTCTCGTCACCCAGGCTGGAGTGCAAAGCACCATCTTGGCTCACCACAACCTCCGCCTTCTGGGTTCAAGCGATTCTCCTGCCTCAGCCTCCTGAGTAGCTGGGATTACAGGCATGTGCCACCACGCCCGGCTAATTTTTGTAGTTTTAGTAGAGATGGGGTTTCACCATGTTGGCCAGGCTGGTCTAGAACTCCTGACCTCAAGTGATCCACTCGCCTCGGACTCCCAAAGTGCTGGGATTTACAGGCGTGAGCTACCACGCCTGGCCGGAATGGTTGACTTATAAAGCCAACAGTCCAGGGTTGCCTGTGGCTTCAGTCATGGCTGGATCCAGGAGGTCACACTGTGTCATCAAAATGTCTCTCTCTGCGTATTTCACCTCTGCCTCCTCCATATCAGCTTTATGTTCAGGCAGGTTCTCATCACAGGATGACAAAGACAGCCACTGATATCCTTATAATTTTGTAAGGAAAAGAGAGTTACTCCTCTGTCCGTATCCAGTGTCCGTATCAATCCCAAGAAGGTCTCTGGCCTGGCAGGGGTCATATGTCCATCAGTGGACTAATCGTAGCAGCCAGGCGAATACAGTGTTTGATGGCTACAGAGACCTAGAACGTGGAGCAGGGCAGGGCAGCCCAACAGGATGCAGTGTTTGATGGCTACAGAGACCTAGAACGTGGAGCGGGGCAGGACATCCCAGCAGCCAGGTGAATGCAGTGTTTGATGGCTACAGAGACCTAGAACGTGGAGCGGGGCAGGGCAGCCCAACAGGACGCATGAACTAAACAGATTGTTACAGAATCTATCCAGAATCTGGCTGGGCGCAGTGGTTCATGCCTGTAATCCCAGCACTTTGGGAGGCCAAGGCAGGAGGATCACTTAAGGTCAGGAGTTTGAAACCAGCCTGGCCAACATGATGAAACCCTGTCTGTACTGATAATACAAAAATTAACCAGCGTGGTGGCACGCACCTGTAGTCCCAGCCACTTGGGAGGCTAAGGTGGGAGAATCACTTGAACCTGGGAGGCAGACGCTGCCGTGAGCTGAGATCACGCCACTTGCACTCCAGCCTGGGCAACAAAGCGAGATTCCAGCAAAAAAGAAAAAAAAAAAGAAAGGGAAAGGAAGAAAAGGAAGGAAGGAAGGAAAGAAAGAAACGGAAAGGAAGAAAAGGAAGGAAAGGAAGGAAGGAAGGAAAAGAAAGAGAAAGAAAGAAAGAAAAAGAATGTATCCAGAATGTCTCTGTCTCTCTCTCTCCTCTCTTTGAGACAGGGTCTGGTTCTGTCACAGAGGCTGGAGTGCAGTGGCATGATCTAGGCTTACCGCAACCTCCACCCCCTAAGCTCAAACGATCCTCCCCCTTCAGCTTCCTGAGTAGCTGGGACTACAGGCGCACACCACTATGACTGGCTAATTTTTGTATTTTTTGGTAGAGAGGCTAGTCTCAAACTCCTGAGCTCAAGCGATCGGCCCGCCTCAGCCTTCCAAAGTGCTGGGATTACAGGCATGAGCCACTGTGCCCGGCCAATCCAGAGTCTGTGTAGAATATAGAGTGATTCCCTAAGAGACGATAAGTAGAACAGGTTTGTCCATTGCTTTCCAAATGAAGAATGATTCCTTTTAATTTTCACTTTTTAAATGTTTTATACCCCATCCAATGACCTATCAAGAATGATTCATTTTTGGTGAGGCGCCGTGGCTCATGCCTGTAATCCCAGCACTCTGGAAGGCTGAGGCAAGTGGATTGCTCAAGTCCAGGAGTTAAGAGACCGGCCTAGGTAACATAGCAAAACCCCATCTCTACAAAATATACAAAAATTATCCCAAGTAGTCCCAGCTACTTGGGAGCCTGAGGTAGGAGGATCGCTTGAGCCTGGGAGGCAGAGGTTGCAGTGAGCCAAGATTGTGCCACTGCACAATCAGCCTGGGTGACAGAGCAAGACCCTGTCTCAAAAAAAAGATATATATTTTTAAAAGCCTCTGACCAAGGGTCATGGGAGTGGCTCATAGGGCTTGAGTCCATCTCAATTGACCTGAATTGACTACATGCTTATCTCCAAGACTACAGACCCTTGGACATTGCTATGGAATCCATAAAGACAAACAATGCTCTGTAATCATGGGCCCGTGAGTTGTTTTGGAGCAGAGTGTGGCAACCTTCAGCACTGTTCAGTAATAACATTTGGGGTTACGATTTGCACCTGGTTTTGGTGACACCTGAGTTTCCACCTTTAAAGCTAGTCACGTAGCTAGAATGTGCCCACATGACCAACTCAGAATAGGAGACCCCCAGCATGAGAAGACTCTGGGTTTCCTGGCACCGAGATGCTTCGTACACACACAGGTAGTGGTTTGAGACTCAGGAACAAGGCGCTCCTGCGTGAGCCTCGTGAACATCCACCATGGGCCCCACAGGAAGACAAGCTCAGGGCTGTGGCCGCCTTTATGCGGTTGGCGTGGTAAATGGCCCCCAAGGATCTCTGCCTCCTGGTATTCATGCTCGTCTCTTGAATGCGGGTTGAACCTGTTGGCTCTTTCTAGTGAATAGAATATGGCAAAAGTGATGGGATGTCACTTCCAAGAGGAAGTTACAAAAAGAGACTGTGTTCAGGAGGAGGAAGAGAAGCAATGGGTAGGTGGAGACGGGGATATTTAGGGCAATGAGACTATTCTGTATGAGACCAAGATGGGAGTTACATGTCATTATACAGTTGTCCAGACCCTTACAATGTACACCAAGAGTGAACCCTCATGTAAACTATGGACTTGAGTTAATAATAAGGTACGAAGGCCGCGTGTGGTGGCTCACGCCTGTAATCCCAACACTTCGGGAGGCTGAGGCATGAGAACCACTTGAGTCTAGGAGTTCAAGACCAGCCTGGGCAACATAGTGAGACCCTGTCTCTACAAAAAATAAAAAAATTAGCTGTGCTTGGCAACATGTGCCTGGAGTCCCAATTACTCGGGAGCCTGAGGTGGGAGGATCATCAGCCTGCAGGTCGAGGCTGCAGTGAGCCGTGATCCTGCCACTGCACTCCAGCCTGGGCGACAGAGTGAAACTCTGTCTCAAAAATACAAAAATAGAGTCTATTTATTAGCAAGAGACAGAGAAAGAGAGAGAAAGAGGGAATGGGGGAGGCTCTGGTTTCCATGTGACACACTTTTTACTTTTCGTCTTTTTTTTGAGACACAGTCTCACTCTGTTGCCCAGACGGGAGCTCAGTGGCGCAGTCACAGCTCACTGCAGGCTCAGCCTCTCCAGGCTCAGGTGATCCTCCCACCTCAGCCTCCTGAGTAGCTGGGACCACAGACACACACCACTACACCTGGCTAAGTTTTGTATTTGTTGTAGAGACACGGTCTCACCATATTGCCCAAGCTGGTCTCAAACTCCTGGGCTCAGGCAATCCTCCTGCCTCCGCCTCCCAAATTGCTGGAATTACAGGTGTGAGTCACCACCTTTATCTCTTTATCTCTCTTTATCTCTCTCTTTCTCTCAGGGATCTTGCTCTGGGGAAAGCCAGCTGCAGTGTTGTGTGGGCTGCCTGAGGAAAGGTGCCCTCCGGAAAGAAATGATGTCTCCGCCCAACAGCATGGTGGACCTGAGTCCTGCTACCAGCCACATGAGTGTGCTTGGAAGCAGGTGGAGCCCAGTTGAGCCTTGAGGTGCCTCCCTCTGTGAGAGACCCCAAGCCGGAGACATCCGGCCAAGAGGCACCCAGATTCCTGCCCCACAGAAACTGATACAATAACGTTGTTTAAAGCCACTACATTTGGAGGTAATCTTGTTACACAGCAATAACTGACTAATACAGTCGGCCTCTTCCATCAGTCACGATTCTCAGTGAGTTGTCTCGCCCTTAATCTGAGGGCTGGAAAGCCCGAAACCCAACATTGTCGTAAGAAACTGCGTTACCCAAGACACCCACTGCCAATGCTCAGGGGCCTCTGCATGCATTTCCAGAAACGATGCTGTGGCCTACAGGGTTGAGGTCACTGCGGGGGGAGTTAAGAGCCAGATAAGACTGAATGGGCCCCTGGCCAGGTGCAGTGGCTCATGCCCGTCATCCCAACACTTTGGGAAGCTGAGGCGGGCAGATCACTTGAGGTCAAGGGTTCGAGACCAGCCTAACCAACAGCCAATATGGTGAAACCCCATCTCTACTAAAAATACAAACTTAGCCAGGTGTAGCAGCGGGCGCCTGTAATCCCTGCTACTTGGGGGGCTGAGGCAGGAGAATGGCTTGAACCCAGGAGGTGGAGGTTGCAGTGAGCGGAGATGACACCAGTGCACTCTACCCTGGGTGATAGAGAAAGATTCTGTCTCAAAAAAAAAAAAAAAAAAACACTGAATGGGCCCCTTCAGCTTCATTATTTTTGTCAATTTTACGTCAGTAAAGCTGGTGGGGGAAGAATGATGGGGCCCACTTGCTATGCTCATACCAGGAGTTGTGTGCAGCTATTTGTATTATGGGTTGTTTTTGTTTGTTTGTTTTTGAGGTGGAGTCTCACTCTGTCACCCAGGCTGGAGGGCAATGGTGTGATCTCGGCTCACTGCAACCTCTGCCTCCTGGGTTCAAGTGATTCTTGAACACTGGCCTGTGTTATATTTTCATGCCGTGTGTTCTGTGTCTTGCCTGCACCTTTAATTGTAGCTATAATATCTTATGGCATTTTATAGTTTATATATAACTTCTTCTATCTCATTTGCTCCCTTTGCAGTAGAAATTATTTCCATTTTACAACTGAGGCTTAGAGAGGAGGTGATTGCTAGAATTACACAATTCCTAAGAGAATTGCTCTAAGGTCTCCAACTGTCTTTTAGGAAATCTATATCAAGCAACTGCTAAATATTCAGTTCTCTGTGTGTTGCTGCCAGAATGATACTAACAGTTCCTGTTTCTGTGGCATCTCCTCTGCCCAGGCAGGTGTTGGCCATTGAACATACATGACTTTGTTTCAGCTCCTCGACAATGTTTGAGGTGCAAGATGCTACAGTTCCCATCACATCCAAGGAAATGGGCACAGACTGGGAAAGTGACTTGCCCAGGGTCACACCAGGAGTAAGAGGAGACGCTGGGATGTCACACCCAGGCTAGCTGGTTCCAGAGATCCTGCTTTTAATTACTGCACTGCAGTATCTAAGACCTCAGCAGGTGGGAGCCAAGCCACACCCCCCAGGGGTCAACAACAATGGGAGGAGATAGATCAAGGCAGCAATGGGAGGAGATAGACCAATGGGGCTTGTCCGTGGGGTCAGTGGAATGGAAGGACTGGTTTTGGAAGAGAGAAGGGTTCCTGGGAATTGTGGCCAGAAGGGGAGGAGGGGCCTGGGGAGGTAGAAACCTCTACCACCCGGGCTCCCGAGGGCCCCCATTGTCTCAGACCTCCTGGCCACACTGCGTGTTTGTCCATGGTCTAAGCTGGGCCTCTGACACCACTGACATCCCCTCTGACCGTCACTGGACAGGCATGTGCCTCCTTCCACCATCCCAGAGCCGTGCTTCCGGGCTCCTCTCCGCAGCCTCTGCCTGCAGCTCCTGCCCACGCCGTGCCGTTGAGGACCGGAGCCTAAGGCTGCACTGCACAAAATGTGGTCCTGGGACCAGAAGAACCAACATGACAGGGGCTTGTTAGAAACTCTCTTGTTGGGGGTGCACAGCGGCTCGTGCCTGTAGTCCCAGCACATTGGAAGGCTGAAGTGGGAGGATGACTTGAGGCCGTGAGTTAGAGAGCAGCATGGGCAACAGAGCCAGAATCTGTCTCTACAAAAAAAAAGAAAAATAGTTGGCCCTCCCAGCCACTCAGGAGGCTAAAGCAGGAGGATCAACTGAGCCCAGGAGCTCAAGGTTACAGTGAGCTATGGTTACACCACTGCACTCCAGCCTGGGTGACAGAGCGAGACTCTGTTTCTAAAAAATAATAAACATTTTGGCCAGCCAGGTGTGGTGGCGCATGCCTATAGTCTTAGCTACGTGGGAAGCTGAGGTGGGAGGATAGCTTGAGCCTGGGAAGTTGAGGCTGCAGTAAGCCAAGATCACGCCACTGCACTCCTGCCTGGGCAACAGAGCAAGACTCCCTCAAAAAAATTAACAAAATGTTTTAAAAAGAAACTCCCTTGCTAGTGGATTCTCAGGTCCTCCCTGCAAACCAGACCTACGGTATCAGAAAAGTCCCAGGTAGCTCCCTGCACATTCACCGTGAGAGGCTCTGGTTGTCGGGACACAATTCCCCGTATGGAATTCTCACTCTACTTATGTTTCTCCCCGTCACCACTGGCTACCTTTGATTCAGACTCTCTTTCATAGGATGAATAGCCTTGGAAGATAGAGATCGTGTCTCCCTCCAGAGCAAAGGGCAGATTAGCTTCAATGATGACAGAAGATCTCGGTTCCCGGGCTCAGAGCTCCGCTGCTGTAACGTAAGCCCTTCTGTCCTCATGTCACCTAGAGCCTCTTCCTGTCACCCTGTGGGAAGTGATTCTGAGGAAACCAGGACAATTGCAAACACTCTGGCTACTGCTTTGCTGTGACTAATAAACATCCTTTGTCTTGTCTCTGGCCCCAGAGTCTCCTGTCTTTAGCTCACATCCATGAAATTGTGGCGGGCGGCCAGGCACAGTGGCTCACACCTATAATCCTAGCACTTTGGGAGGCCGAGGTTGGGGGATCAAGAGGTCAGGAGTTCGAGACCAGCTTGGCCAACATGGTGAAACCCCATTTCTACTAAAAATACAAAAACTATCCTGGCACGGTGTCTGGCACCTGTAATCCCAGCTACTCGGGAGGCCGAGGCAGGAGAATCGCTGGAACTTGGGAGGCGGAGGCTGCAGTGAGTTGAGATTATGCCATTGCACTCCAGCCTGGGCAACAGAGCAAGACTCCGTCTCAAAAAAAAAAAAAAAAAAAAAAAACATGAAAAGAAATTATAGCAGGCTAACTTTTTAGCTTGCTAATAGCAGAAAATCTCATTCTTCCCAGTTCGTGACCCTGGTCTAAGGGACAGGCACACTAACCATTTAATTCTCTGGTTTCTCTACGATTAAATCAGATCACCAGAAACAGTGTGATGTCACCCAAATCTTACTTTTCAAGAAATGCATAGGTAGTGAAGCAAACTAGAAAATACAGAGAAGCAAAAAAAAAAAAAAAAATGTTTTAGGAGGCTGGGCGTGATGGCACATGCCTGTAATCCCGGCACTTTGGGAGGCCAAGGTGGGCGGATCGTTTGAAGTCAGAAGTTCGAGACAAGCCTGGCCAACATGGTGAAACCCCATCTCTATGAAAAATACAAAAATTAGCCGGGTGCGGTGGCGGACGCCTGTAGTCCCAGCTACTCAGGAGGCTGCGGCAGGAGAATCACTTGAACCCAGGAGGTGGAGGTTGCAGTGAGCCGAGATCGCTCTCCACTGCACTCCAGCCTGAGCGACAGAACAAGACTTTGTCTCAAAAAAAAAAGTTTTAAAAACACTGACTAGTCCCACCATTAGGAGAGAGAGCCTCATCTGTTTGGATTCATCCTTCCAGCCTTTTTCTATTAATATATCTAAGTACAGGAAAACAAAATTGCCAGGTGTGTTGGCTCATGTCCGTAACCCCAGCACCTTGGGAGGCTGATGTGGGAGGATCACTTGAGGCCAGGAGCTCAAGTCTGCAGTAAGCTGTAGCTGCACTCCAGCCTGGGTAACAGAACAAGACCCTAGCTCTGAAAAAATAAAAAATATGGCCACGCATGGTGGCTCAACCCCTGCTCTTTGAGAGGCCAATACAGGAGGATTTCTTGAGGCCAGGAGTTCAAGACCAGCCTGGGCAACAAAAATGAGACCCTGTCTCTACAAAACATTTAAAAAATGAAAAAGAAAATTAAGGCCGGGCGCAATGGCTCACGCCTGTAATCCCAGCACTTTGGGAGGCCGAGGCAGGTGGATCACCTGAGGTCAGGAGTTCGAGACCAGCCCAACCAACATGGGGAAACCCTGTCTCTACTAAACTTACAAAATTAGCCGGGTGTGGTGGTGCATGCCTGTAATCTCAGCTACTCAGGAAGGCTGAGGCAGGAGAATCGCTTGAACGCGGGAGGCAGAGGTTGCAGTGAGCCAAGATCGCGCCATTGCACTCCAGCCTGGGCAACGAGCAAAACTCCATCTCAAAAAAAGAAAAGAAAAGAAAAGAAAATTAATGGGACAACAATACATAAATTGTTTTTAAATAATTTTCTTAAAAATATGGCTTGGTGTCCAGGTGCGGTGGCTCACACCTGTAATCCCAGCACTTTAGGAGGTTGAGGTGGGCAGATTACTTGAGGTCAGGAGTTCAAGACCAGCCTGGCCAACATGGTGAAAACCTGTCTCTACTAAAAATACAAAAAAATTAGCCGGACATGGTGGTGCACAGCTGTAGTCCCAGCTACTCGGGAGGCTGAGGCAGGAGAATTGCTTGAACCCAGGGGGCAGAGGTTGCAGTGAGCTGAGATTGCGCCACTGCACCCTAGCCTGGGTGTATTTTTTCAAGACTCCATCTCAAAAAACAAAACAAAACAAAACAAAAATATTTATATATATATATATATGGCATGGATGTCTTTCCAAATCACTAAACTAACATCTGCATCATCGTTTGTGATGTTTGCCTAGTATTCCACTGTATGAACTGTTTATTCAGTTCTCTATCTGTGGACGTCTAGTTTCTTTTTTTTCTTTTTTCTTTTTTTTTTTTTTTTGAGATAGAGTCTCTCTCTATTGCCCAGGCTGGAGTGCAGTGGCACGATCTCGGCTCACTGCAAGCTCCGCCTCCCAGGTTCAAGTGATTCTCCTGCCTCAGCCTCCCAAGTAGCTGGGATTACAGGCGCCCACCACCACGCCGGGCTAATTTTTGTATTTTTCATAGAGATGGGGTTTCACCATGTTGGTCAGGCTGGTCCTGGTCTCGAACTCCTGACCTCGTGATCTGCCCGCCTTGGCCTCCCAAACTGCTGGGATTACAGGTGTGAGCCACTGTGCCCAGCCTTTTTTTTTTTTTTTTTTTTTTTGGCTATTCTAAACAACTTTGCAATGAGTATCCTTATATGCACATTTTAGTGCAATTTTCTAGTGTTTTGGGTATGTTTTGGGGGGGTGAAATAAGCCAAAAGACAATTAAAACAATAAACACTCATATAGCTTTTAACTCACGCCAGGTACTGTTCTAAGCGCTTTGCACATATCAACTCATTTAATCGTCACGACATCTCTGGGAGTAAAGAACTCTTGCCATCCCTGTTCTATAGGGAGTTTAAGGGGCTAGCCCAAGGTCACACAGCTACTAAGTGGTGAAGCTGGGATTTGAACCAGGCATTCTGGCTCAAAGTCTGTGTGTACTCATTCTACTATGGGTTACTCCCAGTTTTAAATGCCCTCTTTGCCTTTCCTAAGAGCCAAAAAGGAAACGGCATTGGGGCCGGGCACGGTGGCTCACGCCTGCAATCCCAGCGCTTTGGGAGGCAGAGGTGGGCGGATCACCTGAGGTCAGGAGTTTGAAACCAGCCTGGCCAACATGGCAAAACCCCATCTCTACTAAACATACAAAAAATAGCTGGGTGTGGTGGTGGGTGCCTGTAATCCTAGCTACTCGGGAGGCTGAGGCAGGAGAATTGCTTGAACCTAGGAGGTGGAGATTGCGGTGAGCTGAGATCGTGCCCCTGCACTCTAGCCTGGGCGACAGAGCAAGACTCCATCTCAATTCAAAAAGAAAAAGAAAAAGAAAAACAGAAATGGCATTGGGTCAATGTGAGGATCTTCGACTTTGTGTCCGCTGTGTAGATACAGGTGGTAGTAAAGTCCTCTTCGAGTTTAGTCCCGAGAAAAGCCTTGTCTTTTAGGGACTCACTTCCTTATACTAGCGTAAAAAAATTTACAGGAGGCCATTGTTTTGGACTAAGGTACTGCACTAGGCCCAACAGTCCAGAGCGACCAAAACGAAGTCACTCGTGGCAGGTGCCCGGTGATCACCCTGAACTTTAAAATGGGTCACTTTTCCAAAAAACAGGAGATTCACAGCAACCAACAGACAGGGTTTTAGTGCCTCTGTCACACAGATGTCTTGTAGCTATCCCTATCTCCTTTTGAAAGTAAGTGGATACGATTAACACGTGAATAAAATGAATGAAACAATTCATTTAACAGTTCATTTAAACTAACTTTTTGGACCCTTCTTGCTTTGTAAGAATTCTTGGGGTCGGGAAGGTGGTGTGCTGGCACTGGGAACATCCTGTTAATTGTACTTGCCAGCTTAATTACCTAAACAAAGCCCAAAGCCTTCTAGAGAAAAGGAGTAATTTGTAATTACCAGCAACTGGTTTGACACATCAAGGCCCCTATTCTCATTCTGAAAAGGAAGCCAGCAAACATAAAGAACAAAAACCTTCCACTTAAAAAAAAAAGCCCCTTCACGCTCTAACGTCTTGATTCGACACTGCACCATTGTGAGCTTGAGAACAGTACTCAGTCTAAAAGCAACGTATCCCCTTAGACAGCTCCATTCTGACCACCACCAAAAGCTGCGGTTCTCCAAAAAATTAGCAATGGCTGGGGAGAATACGAATGATTTTTATTTTTGCTAATATGCATTTTTTTATTTTTAAGAATGAGCACTTTCAGGCTGGGTGCGGTGGCTCACGCCTGTAATCCCAACACTTTGGGTGGCCGAGGCGGGTGAAACACTTAAGCCCAAGAGTTTGACAGCAGCCTGGGCAACATGGTGAAACCCTGTCTCTACAAAAAATACAGAAATTACCCAGGTGTAGTGGCACGCACTGCAGGCCCAGCTACTCAGGAGGCAGAGGTTGCAGTAAGCTGAGATCGTGCCACTGTGCTCTAGCCTGGATGACAGGACAAGACCCTGTCTCAAAAAAACAAACCAACAATGAAACAAAGATGATAACAACCCCTACCCCAAACAAACCCCTTCCTTGCTTGGGGACCACACTGCCTTTGTGAAACTAACAAATCAGCCACAGATTATAAATTATGACTCAGAACCAGGTGTGGTGGCTCATGCCTTTTGGGAGCTGAGCATTTTGGGAGGCTGAGGCAGGTGGATCATCTGAGGTCAGGAGTTCGAGACCAGCCTGGCCAACCTGGTAAAACCCCCATCTCTACTAAAAATATAAAAATTAATCAGACATGGTGGTGGGCGCCTGTAGTCCCAGCTACTCGGGAGGCCAAGGCACAAGAATCACTTGAACCCGGGAGGCAGAGGTTGCAGTGAGCCGAGATCGCACCACTGCACTCCAGCCTGGACAACAGAGCAAGACTCCGTCTCAAAACAAACAAACAAAACTCTAGCCTCTGAATTTTCAGAGGCAGATTTGAGCAATAATAAACTCCTGTTCTTCTGCTTAGCTGGCTCTGTGTTTATTAAACTCTTTCTCTGTTGCAATACTGCTGTCTTGGTAAATTGGCTCTCTCTGTGCAGTGGGCAAGATCAACCCTTTGGATGACTCTGCATTTTCTTTGAGAAAAAAATTACATTAGAATGTACAAATCCTGTTTGTTTTTTGTTTGTTTTTGTTTTTTGTTTGTTTTTTGTGAGACAGGGTCTTGCCCTGTTGCCCAGGCTGGAGGGCAGTGGTATGATCAAGGCTCACTGCAATCCCCACCTCCCAGGTTCAACCGATTCTCCCACCTCAGCCTCCCAAGTAGCTGGGACTACAGGTTCACGCCACTGCGCTCAACTAATTTTTGTATTTTTTGTAGAAACAAGGTTTTGTCATGTTGACCAGGCTAGTCTCAAACTCTTGGGCTCAAGCAATCCACCTCCCTCAGCCTCCCAGAGTGCTGGGAATACAGGCATGAGCCACGGCACATGGCCCACAAATCTTAGTTGTACCATTTTGACAAAGTATATACTTTGGGAAGAAAGGGCTTTTTGTTTGTTTGTTTGTTTTTGAGATGGAGTCTCACTCTGTTGCCCAGGCTGAAGTGCAGTGGTGTGATCTCGGCTCACTGCAGCCTCCGCCTGCCCAGTTCAAGTGATTCTCCTGCTTCAGCCTCTGGAGTTGCTGGGATTACAGGTGCTTCCCACCACGCCCAGCTAATTTTTGTATTTTTTAGTAGAGATGGGGTTTCATCATGTTGGCCAGGCTGGTCTTGAACTCCTGACCTCAAGTGATGCCCCCACCTCAGCCTCCCAAAGTGCTGGGATTATAGGTGTGAGCCAGTGTGCCTGGCCATTTATTTGATTCTTATTATTTTTTGATTCTTAATTCCTGTTTTTATTATACCAGTAACACTAACTCATTGTAGAAGAACAGACGAGCCAAAAGAACAATCAATTATTAAAGTCTGTATACATACTACCAGGGCAAGACTTTCTACAAAGTCAAAAAACAACAGATGTTGGCAAGGACGTAGAGAAGAGGGAAGGCCTGCATGCTGCTTGTGGGAATGTAAATCAGCACAACCCTCAAGAAAAACCAGCATGGAGAGTTCTCAGAGAACCAAAAGTAGAACTACCATTCTACCCAACAATCCCACCGTGGGTGTCCACCCAAAGGAAAAGAAACTCTTCTATCCAAAAGACACCCACACTCGCAGGTCCAATGCAGACACCCACACTCGCAGGTCCAATGCAGACACCCACACTCGCAGGTCCATTGCAGACACCCACACTCGCAGGTCCAATGCAGACACCCACACTCGCAGGTCCAATGCAGACACCCACACTTGCAGGTCCAATGCAGCACAACTCACAATAGTGAAGACATGGAATCAATCTAAGCGCCCATCCACGGGCAACTGAATAAAGAAAATATGGCAAATGTATACCATGGATACCCCTCAGCCATAAAAAAAGAATAAAACCATGTCTTTTGCAGCAACATGTTGGAGCTGGAGGCCATCATCCCAAATGAAACAACTCAGAAACCAAAAGTCAAACACCACATGTTCTCATGTAAAAGTGGGAGCTAAACCATGTGTGCACAGGGTCATGGAATGTGCAATAAGAGAGACTGGAGACTTGGAAAGGTGGGGAGGTGGGAGGAGGGTGAGAGATGAGAAATTACCTTTTTGGTACAATGTACACTATTTGAGTGATGGGCACACCAAAAGCCCAGACTTGGCCACTATATAATATATCCACGTAACAAAACTGCATCCGTACCCCCTAAATCTATAAAAATAAAAAATAAACACTTTTCTAAAAGAACTTTTAAAGACACCTGCTTTAAGCAACTACAATTTAGTTAACTATGTAGTTTCACCATACTCCTAATTAAGTACTACAATTCATGCTAATAGCAAAAATATACCTGATACATAGAGTGAACCAGCATCTCTCTCTCTAAATGTTAGGTTGTGATACCATTTCCTTCAAAGGGAAAAATTTCAGCCGGGCACAGTGGCTCATGCCTGCAATCCCAGGACTTTGGGAGGCCAAGGTGGGCGGATCATTTGAGGTCAGGAGTTCGAGACCATCCTGGCCAACATGGTGAAACCCCGTCTCTACTAAAAATACAAAAATTAGCTGGGCGTGGTGGCACGTATCTGTAATCCCAGCTATTCGGGAGGCTGAGGCACAAGAATCACTTGAACCCGGGAGGTGGAGGTTGCAGTGAGCCGAGATCACACCACCACAGTCCAGCCTGGGTGATAGAGCAAGACTCAGTCTCAAAAAAAAAAAGGAAAAATTTCTCCTATGCTTTATTCTAATTTCCATATTTTTCTATCAGCTCCTTGGCTTTAGAAATATAGGCATTCATTGCATCTTCTGTCAACAACCGAAAGGGGTTTGGTTTGGAAAGGGGTTGTGTATTAGTCTGTTTTCACTCTGCTGTAAAGAACTGCCCAAGACTGGGTAATTTATAAAGGAAAGAGGTTTAATTGACTTTAATTGACTCACAGTTCAGCATGCCTGGGGAGGCCTCAGGAAACTTACAATCATGGCAGAACGTGAAGGGAAAGCAACCACCTTCTTCACAAGGCGGCAGGAAGGAGAAGTGCTGAGCGGAGGGGGAAGAGCTCCTTAAACAGCCATTGGATCTCGTGAGAATTCACTATCCCCAGATCAGCATGTGAGGAGCTGCCCCCACGATCCAACCACCCCCACCTGTGGGGATTATAATCTCATGAGAATTCACTATCCCCAGATCAGGATGGGGGGAGCTGCCCCCACGATCCAACCACCCCCACCTGTGGGGATTATAGGGATTACAATTCAAGATGAGATGTGGGTGGGGATGCAAAGCCTAACCATATCAGATTGTTATCTTTGCTTCAAAATTAAACTATAAACTAAATTCCTCCTGCATTTAGCTTAACCTGTACCCATGTACCTACCCCCTCGTGATCTGAAACATTTGAATTTCCATCGAAAGGATCCTTATGTTCCTTCCCAGTAAGTCACCAACCACCATACACACACATCTAGGTAATCATTAGTCTAATTCTTTTCAACCTAGAGTCCTTTTGCCTGTTTTAGAATCTCTTAAGTGGAATCATACTATATGCATCCTTTGATGCCTGTCAGCATCATGTCTATGCAAGTCACCCACGATATTACATGTATCAGCAATTTATTCCTGTTTATTGTTAAATAGTATTCTATTTTGTGTGTGTGTGTATATATATGTCTGTGTGTGTGTGTATATATATATATATATATATGTCTGTGTGTGTATATATATATATTTTTAGACAGAGTTTCCCTCTTGTCACCCAGGCTGGAGTGCAATGGTGCGATCTCGGCTCACTGCAACCTCCACCTCCTGGGTTCAAGTGATTCTCCTGCCTCAGCCTCCTGAGTAGCTGGGATGACAGGCATGTGCTACCAGGCCTGGCTAATTTTGTATTTTTAGTAGAGACGGGGTTTCACCATGTTGGTCAGGCTGGTCTCGCAGTCCTGACGTCAGATGATCCGCCCGCCTCGGCCTCCCAAAATGCTGGGATTACAGGTGTGAGCCACCGTGCCTGGTCTAAATAGTATTCTATTATATATATTAATATACACTATATTTTTGTTTATCAATTACTCTGTTGATGGATGGACATTTTGGTCTCTTCATCATATGACTATCAACAGAATGACCAGTAACTTTCTTATGTGCAAGCATTTTGGTGGACCTATGTTTTCATTTCTCATAGATAAGCATCAAATTATATTTAATCATAGCTTTAATCTGCATTTCCCTGATACCTAATGGTTTTGAACACCGTTTCATGGGCTTATTTCCCATCCATATATCTTCCTTTGTGAACTGTCTGTTCAAGTCTTTTGCTCATTTTTAATAGGGTCGTTCTCACGGCTGTAACCCCAGCACTCTGGGAGGCTGAGGTGGGAGGATTGTTTGAACCCAGGAGTTCAAGACCAGCCTGGGCAACATAGTGAAACCCCATCTCTACAAAAATACAAAAAAATTAGCCAGGCATGGTGGCACGTGCCTGTAGTCCCAGCTACTCAGGAGGCTGAGGTGGGAGGACAGCTTGGGGCCAGGAAGTTGAAGCTGCAGTGAGCCATAATTGCATCACTGTCTGGGTGACAGAGCGAGACCTTGTCTCAAAAAAAAAAAAAAAAAAAAGTTGACTTAAAGAGCTCTTTGCATATTCTGGATACAAGTCCTTTGTCAGATGTGAATTTTTCTCCCAGTCTTGACTTATGCTTTCTTAACAGAGTCTTTAAAGAACAGAGGTTTTTAATTTTGATGAAACAAGTTTGTTACTTTTTGTCTTTATGGTTATTCACTCTGTATCCTGTTTAAGAACTCTTTGGGCTGGGTATGGCGTCTTATGCCTATAATCCTAGAACTTGGGGAGGCCAAGATGGGAGGATTGTTTGAGGTCAGAAGTTTAAGATCAGCCTAAGCAACATAGCAAAATCTTATCTCTACAAAATTAAAATTAAAATTGACTGGGTGTGGTGGCACACACCTGCAGTTCCAGCTGCTTGGGAGGCTGAGATGGGAGGATTGCTTGGGCTCAGGAGTTCAAGATTGCAGTGAGCTATGATCGTGCCACTACACTCCAGCCTGGATGACACAGCAAGACTCCTTTCAAAAAAAAAAAAAAGAAAAGAAAAAAGAAAAAAATTTTTGCCCACTCTCAGGTCTTTTTTTCCCCCCAAGATAGAGTCTTGCTCTCTCGCCCAGTCTAGAGTGCAATGCTGCAATCTCAGCTCACTGCAACCTCCACCTCCTGGGTTCAAGCAATCCTTGTGCCTCAGTCTCCTGAGTACTGGGACTGCAGGTGCCCGCCACCACACCTGGCTAATTTTTGTATTTTTAGTAAAGACGGGGTTTCATCATGTTGGCCAGGCTGGTCTCAAACTTCTGGCCTCCAGCGATCCGTCCGTGTTGGCCTCCCAAAGTGCTGGGATTACAGGCATGAGCCGCTGCACCCCGCAGGTCTTAAAGACTTTCTCCTAGCTTTTCTTTTAAACATTTACATTTAGGTCTATAATCTATCTGGAATTAATTTTTGCTCGTGGTATGTGGTAGAGGTTGAGGTTTACTTTTTTCCCCATATAGAGAACTGGTGGTTCCAGCCCCATTTACTGAAAATGCTCTCCTTTCCCCATCAAATTGCTTTGGCGTCTTTGTCAAAATCAATTTGCAACAGGTCTACTATGGGACTCCTATTCTGTCCCACTTACATGTCTATCTTTAAGACAAATTATACTACCTTTTTTTCCAAGACAAGGTCTTGCTTTGTCACCAAGGCTGGAGTACAGTGACACCATCATAGTTCGCTGTAACCTCAAACTCCTGGGCTCAAGCAATCCTCCTGCCTTAGCCTCCCAAGTAGCTAGGACTACAGGTGCACACCACCACACCCAGCTAATTTTTTATTTTTTTGTAGAGATGGAGTCTCATTATGTTGCCCAAGCTGGTCTCAAATTCCTGGGCTCAAGTGATCCTCCCACTTCAGCCTCCCAAAGTTTTGGTATTACAGGTGTGAGCGACTACATCTGGCCCTATACTGTCTTGATAACTGTAGCTTTAAAATCAGTTGGTGTTTTTCTTTTTTTGAGATTATTTTGGCTATTCTAGGTTCCTTAAATTTCTATATAAATTTTATTTTTATTTATTTGAGACAGTCTCGCTCTGTCACCCAGGCTGGAGTGCAGCGGCATGGTCTCGGCTCACTGCAACCTCCACCTCCCAGGTTCAAGCGATTCTCCTGCCTCAGCCTCCCGAGCAGCTGGGACTACAGGCACCCACCACCACGTCCAGCTAATTTTTTTTTTTTTTATGATTGAATCTTGCTCTGTGGCCCAGGCTGGAGTGCAGTGGTGTGATCTCAGCTCACTGCAACCTCTGTCTCTCAGGTACAGTCGATTCTCCTCCTGCCTCAGCCTCCCGATTAGCTGGGATTACAGGCATGTGCCACAATGCCCAGCTAATTTTTGTATTTTTAGTAGAGACCAGGTTTCACCACGTTGGCCAGGCTGGCCTTGAACTGCTGACCTCAGCTGATCCACCCGCCTCGGCCTCCCAAAGTGCTGGCATTACAGGCTGTGAGCCACCATGCCTCACCCTATATAAATTTTAAAACAAACTTTCAAACTTTATTTAATTAAAAAACAAACACTTTGTTGGATTATGACTGGGATTGCGTTGAATCTATAGTACAGTTTGGAGACAGGTGACATCTTAGTGGCAAGTCTTCCACTCCAGGAACACGGTGTACTTCGTTTATTTGCATGTTCCTTAATTTCCCTCTGCAGTGTTTTAGAGTGTTCAATGTAAAGACTGCATGTGATTTTATTTATTCCTAAGTATTTTGTGATTTGTGACATATAAATTTATGATTTAAATTTCATTTTTGTTACCAGTATATAGAAACACAATTGACTCATATATCCACATTGTATTCTGAGACCTTGATATATTTAGTTATTAATTCTAATAATATTTTGGTTGATTCTGTAAGATTTTTCTATATGTAAACAGTCATGTCATCTATGTACAGGGACAGTTTTACTTCTTCCTTTCCAATTTTTTTTTTTTTTTTGAGACAGAGTCTCACTCTGTCACCCAGGCTGGAGTGCAATGGCGCAATCTCAGCTCACTGCAACCTCTGCCTCCTGGGTTCAAGTGATTCTCCTGCCTCAGCCTCCTGAGTAGCTGAGATTACAGGTGTCCACCACCACGCCCAGCTAATTTTTGTATTTTTAGTAGAGACGGGGTTTCACCATGTTGGTCAGGCTGGTCTCGAACTCCTGACCTCAGGCGATCCTCCTGCCTTGGCCTCCAAAGTGCTGGGATTACAGGCATGAGCCACCGTGCCCGGCCCCTTTCCAATCTTTATACCTTTTATTTTTCTTGCCTTATTTCATGGGCTACGACCGACAATACAATGGTGAAGTGAGTATTCTTGCCTCATTCCCAATCTTAGGAGGTCGGCGTTCAGTGTTTTCTCATTAAATGCATTTCACGGTGATTGTGTTTTCTGCATATGGGAGAATATTACTTCTTCCTTTAAAATCTGCATGTTCTTCCTTTTCTTATATTATTCACAGACGAATCCAACACAATGTCGACACTCAGTGGTTAGAGTGAATGTCCTTGCCTTGTTCCCCCACTTGGAAACATTCACTCTTTTCACCATGAAGTACTTGAAGGTTTCTCACAGATGCCTTTTACTAGGTTGGAAAAGTTTCCTTCTATTCCTGCTTTGCTGAGAGCTTTTATCACACATAAGTGTTAAATGTTGTCAAATGTTTTCTCTGCATCTATGGAGATAATTGTATGTTCTTTCTCGTTGTTGTTTTAACCTGTCAGTATGGTGAATTACATTGATTGATTTTCAAATGTTAAACCAACCCTGCATTCCTGGGATGAACCACATTTAGTTATGACCTATGATCCTTTTTATATATTCCTGGATTTAATTCACTTATTTTTCTTAAGGATTTTTCTATCTATATTCATGAATGATATTAGTCTATGGTTTTCATTCAATGGCTGTGTTAGGCTGTGGAATCACAGAAATGCTGGCCTCGGAACAAACTGGAGAGCGTTCCTTCTGCCTCCGCTTTCCAAACAGGTGTGTGTACGATTGGTGTTATTTCTTCCTTGAATGTTTGATAGTATTCACCATCATCTAGACCTGGGGTTTCCTTTGTGAGAAAAATTCCTTTGATACATGTATATTATCATTTTATGTAAATAGTTTGTACAGATGTGTGTATTCTTCTTGTCTATTTCATCTTGTGTCAGTTTGGTAAGATGCTTTTTTTAAAGAAATTTTTCTATTTTATCCAAGTTGTCTAATTTATCAACATAAAGTTGTTTGTAAAGTTATCTTATTATACTTTCGAGGTCTGTCGGATCTCTATTCAATTATGATATTGTAATTTTTGCTTTCTGGCTATTTCTTCATCAATCTAGCCGAAGTTTATCAATTTTTTCCAATCTTTTCAAAGAATCACAATTTTTATTTAAAAAAATTCACAATGATTTGTCTGTCTCTATTTCATTGCTTTATACTTCTATCTTTATTATTAAATATTCATTATTAAATTCCTTCTTCTTACTTGGAGTTTAATTTGCTCATCTTTTTCTAGCTGCTGTAGGTGGAAATTGCCATCAGAGTGGTGCTAGGCGTGGGAGCTGCCTCTTGAAGTTCATGATAATCTGGGTGACTTCCGTATACCCTGTTCGCCCAGCCTTCCAACATCTGTGTGAGCAGCTCTCTGTGTTAAATATCTAGTACGGTTTTGGTTTCCCTGACTGGACTCTGAATGTTATGAATATAAACTAGCATTTCTTGGCCGGGCGCAGTGGCTCATGCCTGTAACCCCAGCACTTTGGGAGGCTGAGGCGGGCAGATCACGAGGTCAGGAGTTCAAGACGAGCCTGGCCAACATAGTGAAACCCCGTCTCTACTAGAAATACAAAAAATTAGGCAGGTGTGGTGGTGCACGCCTGTAATCCCAGCTACTCAGGAGGCTGAGGCAAAAGAATCACTTGAACCCAGGAGGCTGAGGTTGCAGTAAGCAGAGATCACACCACTGCACTCCAGCCTGGGCAACACTGTAAGAATCTGTCTCAAAAAAAAAAAACAACAACAAAAAACAAAAACAAAAAGAACTAGCATTTCTGAAAGTTTATTCCAAAAACATTAGTCCCATGAAATGCTCGTGGGTTCTGTGATCCAGTGAGTTTGGAAAGTGCCATCTACTAGATTTCCTCTGTTGAAGACTCTCAACGCACATTACCATATTAACCGCTGGGGTAGGTGATTATAGAGCGAATATTCACTGCTTCTCCCCACATCCGTGGAAGAAGTATGGTACCCTGACTTTTGATGTTTGGTGTATCCATCCAAGTAACTTGCTTTGGCCAATAGAATGTGGGTGGAAGTAACAGCGTGCCAGGTCCCAGTGTAGACCTTAGGAGGTATTACAGCACTTCTGCCCTGAGAAAAACATGGCCAAGCCACCTCTCTAACCTGTTTCAGGGCTGAGTGGAACAGATCTGAATTCAACACTTAGCCAGAGGCAGAACTGCTGTATCGGACTATAGATTTGTATGCAAGAAATAAATGCTTACTCTTGTATGCAGTGGTGTGATTTTTAGGGTGGTTGTTACACAGCAAGAGCTGACCGATACAAACATCCCAAGCAGCCCTGTAATAAACACACTCAGCTTGTTCAGCTTTTCATGTCCCCAAACTTATTTGATCATAGAACCTTATTTGTATTTCTAAGCAATTTGGAAAATAGTAATAAAAACAAACTACTTGATAGGGATTATTCTTAAATAAAATTATCAGCATTTTGGAAAGACATATTCTTTGCAATGGGATTTGCTACCTAATCAATAGAGTCATTCGCTTCTTAAATTTCCAGAGACTATACCAAAAAGGCTTTTTGAGATTCATCATATTATTGTTAATTATCCCTACTACTTTTCCTCTTGGGAGCACCAGCTTAATCTGAGATACTTAGAAAGGTTGGGGACATGACTGGTTTCAACACCCTTTTGACTATTTCTCTGCACGTGCCCACACCCACACATCCCTGTACCTTAATCTTATGTGCTTTAAATATTTTTCCCTCAAAACCTTGGAACTGCTGATTAGCCAATTCATTTTATGGAATATTTACACCATATAACCTAATTGGCAAAATTAGCCCTCATTGTTATCCCAGTCAGCCAAATCAGGCATCATTCCTATTAAAAGGGGACTGGAAAAAAAATTACAGAAACGATACTCTGCATTTGTTTCGCAATGGGCAGACCTATGGAAACCTATCCTCAAGGTTCAGGGAAGCTGAGAGCTGGAAGAAAGAGGCTGACAGATTTAGTTCCTCAGAAAGAAACATTTAAGATGGGCACAGTGGCTCACACTTGTAATCCCAAAACTTTAGGACGGTAAGACAGGAAGATTGCTTGAGCCCAGGAGTTCGAAACCAGCCTGGGCAATATGGCGAAACCTCATCTCTACAAAAAAAATTTAAAAATTAGCCTGATGTGGTGGCACATGCTTGTAGTCTCAGCTACTCGGGAGGCTGAGGTGGGCAGATAATTTGTGTCCAGAGGTTCTTGGGCAGCAGTGAACTATGATTGTGCCACTCCACTCCAGCCTGGGAGAAAGAGGGAGATCCTGTCTCAATAAAACAAAGCAAAACAGAAAGAAACATCTAATAGAGCCTCATGAGCAGAAGCCATGAGGTCCCAGGCAGCAGCTAGGGGAGATGGTGGGTCCCTGCACCGTTACCCCTAGACCCAGGACTCGTCCACCGTAGGGAAGGGTTGTGTGGGACGCTCGCAGGGAAAGGCAGGAACGCTATGTGAATCTGCCTCAGGGCAGGATTTGTGCTGAGTACACGTTCCTATACAAGAAACCGTAGATAAAATAGATAAAATAGAGGCATTCGCTGAGCTGGGGTGAATCCGAAGTCAGTAGGGGAGATCAGCATCCAAGAGGGAGCTGCATCTCTGGGACATAATTACTTCCCAGTCATCACTCAAAGACAGACAAATACACACACAGCCTTGCCGTGAATTGGATGCTTGAATGAAATACAGGGCCTCCATCCATTTTCAATATTTCTTGTTGACTCTCTCTTTGCTTTGCCCAAAGGGACGGATGGCGTGCAGGAAATGCTGCCCCAAAATACGGTACTTTCGCTTGCTGTGTATTTTAAGCTCAAGGAAACTGAGAAAACGGCAGAAGCGAAGGGCTCTCTGATCTTCCCTCACCCTTTTCTCCCCTGAAGCAAGCTACAGAAATTATTTATTTTTATTTATTTATTTTTTGAGATGGAGTCTCGCTCCATCACCCAGGCTGGAGTGCAATGGCGTGATCTCAGCTCACTGCAACCTCCGCCTCCCGGGTTCAAGTGATTCTCCTGCCTCAACCTCCCAAGTAGCTGGGATTACAGGTGTGCCCCACCATACCTGGCTAATTTTGGTATTTTTAGTAGAGACGGGGTTTCACCAGGTTGGTCAGGTTGGTCTCGGACTCCTGACCTCAGGTGATCCGCCCGCCTCAGCCTCCCAAAGTGCTGGGATTACAGGAGGGAGCTACGGCGCCTGGCCCCTTTCTTTTTTAATTTTTAATTTTTGTAGAGATGGGGTCACACTGCATTGCCAAGGCTGATCTCGAACTCCTGGCCTCAAGTGATCCTCCAGCCTTGGCCTTGTGAAGCGCTGGGATTATAGGTGTGAGCCACCATGCCCAGCCACACTCGGAAAATCTTGTACTTGTAGATTAATACTGTTAAATATAATCACGTCTTAAAATTTCTCAAGATGAGGAGCTGTTTTTCTCATTTTGCGTAAACAAACATAATTCTACTTTAAAAACAGAAGCATCTCTCTAAGTTTTGTTTTTTCAGATAATTTATTGTTAAATGAAGACATCACAAAGCAAAATGGAGTGGGGCAGGTGTCAAAGGTAAACTGAAAACGTCGTGTCTGCCAAACGCTATTCTGGTTTCCTAAGGTTAGAAACAGGAAAAGTGTCAAATGAAAAGGTACTCGCTCAAATTAAGTTTTTTTAAAAGGTCTGTAATTTGAAAGGAAAACAATTTTTCACTAAAAATATCCTTATTACATGAAAGCCATAATTTAAAAGACAGAGAAAAAAGCTTTTTAATTAACAAATAAACAGCATCTCTCAGAGACACTTGGGAATGTTTGTTTTTAATCAGTGGGTCCTAAAAATCACTGCTTCCACCTGCAAACGAACACGAATCCACTGTGGATGGCGTCCTCTGACCCACCCTGAAGGGTTCTGTTTCTCTCCACACACTTCCTTTTCTGCAACTTTCAGCAAAGCAGGTTTGGAAGAAAGAGGATTACAAAGAACTACGACTGGCTCCCTAGTGAATAACTTAACACGGTAAAACCCGGTTTTCCATTTACATTACACATTCACAATCGCTCACTGCTACTTACTTCACTGACGTATTTCACACTCTCTACACACCCAGCATGATTTGTCTGAACTTAACACAGTCCCCCTAAGACAAAAAAAAATATCTCCTAAGGACCTCTGAGAACACAGCGGTGTTCAAAGGCCACGTCCTCGCACACAACACCCAGACCTGCCACGCAGCCGGTACTGTTTCCTGAGCTCATCCGAGCAAGCGTCTCCACGGGGCAAAGCAAGGCCTTGAGGATCCCGCTAACATAACTTACAAATTATTGGGAGGCCGAGGCGGGTGGATCACAAGGTCAGGTGTTCGAGACCAGCCTGGCCAACATGGTGAAACCCCGTCTCTACTAAAAATACAAAAATTAGCTGGGCGTGGTGGTGGGCACCTGTAATCCCAGCTGCTCAGGAGGCTGAGGCAGGAGAGTCGCTTGAGCCTGGGAGGTGAAGGTTGCAGTGAGCTGAGTTGGCGCCATTCCACTCAGCCTGGGCAACAGAGCGAGACTCCATGTCAAAAAAAAAAAAAAAAAAGACATTGACCACTTAAACGACCACAGCATGAAATCAGACAGAAAAATCCATTTTTATCAATAAATGCTGCGTCACTTGCTCTTCCAAACACAGGAAGCATTTTTTGCTCTGCACGTGACTGAGGAGACTGTGGGTCCCAGGGTGGCCCCTCCCTGGGTCCCAGCCGAGCTTCAGCCCGGCAAGCTCAGACCACGGGTGGACTGCAGGCCCCGTCCACAGGGCGTCGATGCATTGGGGCACAGCGGACTGATGCTGTTGTCTGCAGAGGACAGCGTGGCTCTCCAGGACTCCAGCGACTGCGCACGACGGCGATTGTCGCTGCACCTGCTGCTGTGGCTCCGGGGCACCGCGGGGCTCAGTTCAGCTTTCGGCGCAGATGGAGGCCATCGGCAGAAACCCGGAGCTACAGCCGAGCTGAGCTTACAGTGCTCGGTAACCCTCAGGCACTGGAAATAATTTGGATGTGTTCAAGGGGAATATCTAGTTTGTTCTTTCCAATATTGGAAGAAAAAAGTAAAACCATCAGCCACTTTCTTTACTCAAACACCACAGGGATTGGCAGGAGGTCCCAAGAAGGGGTTAGGGGAGGACGGGGTGGCGGGAGGCAGGTCTGAAGCCACCGCACCCTGGTCCACCCCGCTGCTGGGCCACGCCAGCCGAATTCACACGGTCCTTGGGGACATTTCAGTTGACTGTCACCTGCCTCCGTACGGTGGTGTGAGAGGAATGCGCGCCACCACGGCGGCCAGGTTTTGACATCGTTCCCTACTCTGAATGCACCTTAGCTTGTCTGGTGTCGGGGGATGGGGGCACAGATTTCCTCAGCTTTGCCACTTTTTTTTAGAGATGGAGGCTCACTATGTTGCCAGACCGGTCTCGAATTCTTGGGCTCAAGAGATCCTCCTGCCTCAGTTTCCAAGTAGCTGAGACTACAGGCGCCAGCCACCGTGCCCAGCCTTCCTTGCTTTCTGAATTAGACCTAAGGCACTGGCAGAAACCCTCTGCAATTCTGACGCCATCGAGATCCTAAGACTGAGTCAACTCTAGCTCCTCTCATGATGAACCAGGTCATCGCCTGCGTCTGCCTCCTCCGGGTGGCCGCAGGTCTTAGGGCCACCGCTTCCTGTCCTGAGTGTCCACTCCCCACGTGGACTCCCAAAAAGTGTGTTTTCCAAGCACACTCTTAGAATGCTGTTTCTCTCAAAAAAAGGCCGTCCACTCCGTTTTGCCTTATGAAAAAATGGGAAAGTATTCTGAAAGTATTCCAAAAGCCCAAAACACCTATCGGAGACTCACGGAAGCCTGCGGAGACGGTCACCAGATACCAAGGGTTCGAGGCGTTTCTCAGAGCCTGTGCTTGGAACTGACCGTCAGGAAGCAATCGGAGCCGAAGCCGCTGCTCCCAAACCTGGCCGCCCATCGGCCTGGCCTTCCCGGAGCAGGTGGCAACACGGAGAACCTTTTTTTTTAAAAAAAAAAGGCATCTTAAATTGTGGTTTGGGATTTTCTTTTTTTTTTATATCATGAAAAAAGATTTAGAGAATTACAAGAGTTTAGGTTAATAGGAAACACAAATGGAGGTGGAAATTTAAAAACAAAGGAATGGAACTCAACTCTCCACAGATTGAACCCACACAGGTGTCACTGTTTACTGAATTAGCACCACTTTTGTGCAGTGAAGACACCCGTGGCTGAGATTTCTTAAATCTCACTTTTTCCATGCTTTTCTTCTGACAAACTGACCACGGAGGGAGAGCTCTCCTCCCCCCTCCCTATCCCAGACTGCTGCTGCTTTCCTGCAATTCTGGTGGTCTTTTTGTTGCCTCATCTGATTGAGACTTTGGGGAAACAACACAGCAGCAAACCAGGACATATATTCCCTCTAAAAACAGCTTGAAAATTACAACACAAAGATCTCAATAATTATGAGATGCAGTGATTTTTTCTTTTTTTTCTCTTCCCCCGGCCGCGCTTGGAGGTATCTCTAGGTTAGACTCCTCTGGGGCTGGAATGACGTGAAGGGTAAGGTCGCCCAGCTTGGCCAGGGCAGTCGGGGGCAGGACAGCGGGAGAGCCGGTCCGACCCCAGCCCAGCCTGCTGGGTCAGCATTCATCAGAGAGGTCGTCGCTGCCCGGGAGCTCCGCGGCTTCGAGCTCCACGCTGGACAGAAACCTCCTCAGCGTCTTGCGGCAGTTGTAATCCAGGGTGGTGGTGTAGACGGCCTTGGGGTACTTGGGGTACACGATGGTGGTACTGAGGAAGCGGGTGGGCCTGTGGCGTGGCTCGAAGCGCACCTCGGCCTTGTAGTTGCGCCACGTGCCATTGGGGACACAGGTGACCGTCTGGCTGCAGGAGGCCACCGCCAGGCCCAGGGGCAGCTGCACGTCGTCGATGAAGTGCCTCTCGGAGTCGTACTTGACCAAGGAGGTGTACCTGGGCGGGAGACATAAGAGGCCGCGTGAAGCCGCTCCTCTGAGCCGGGGGCTTGGGGTCCCCACTGTGACCGTGAGTCATTTGTGGGGTGCACATGTAGAAACGTGGCCGCCCCAGTGAGAAGCAGCATAGGGTCACAGAGTCTATAAAGTACTTACTATGTGCCAGGTACCCGTCGTCTAAGTACTTTACTTACGGGATCCAATTTAATCTCCCCAACGACCCTGAGAGAAGAAACCGAGGTGCAGAGGTGAAGGTCACAGCGCCACTGAGTACTGGAGCTGGGATTTAAATACAGGGGTGCAGGCTTCCAAAGCTGGCCCCACATCACTGTTAGCCACTGCGGGCAGCAGCCCTGGATCCTGCTCCCACTCGCACAAGCTTAAGACCTCAGCCAAGTTACTTCACTCTTCCGAGCCTCCGTTTCCTCTTTTTTTTTTTTTTTTTTTGAGATGGAGTCTCGCTCTGTCACCCAGGCTAGAGTGCAGTGGTGCAATCTCAGCTCACTGCAACCTCCGCCTCCCAGGTTAAAGTGATTCTCCTGCCTCAGCCTCCTGAGTAGCTGGGATTACAGGCGCCCGCCACCACGCCCTGCTAATTTTTGTATTTCTACTAGAGACGGGGTTTCACCATGTTGACCAGGCTGGTCTCAAACTCCCGACCTCAGGTGATCTGCCTGCCTTGGCCTCCCAAAACGCTGGGATTATAGACATGAACCACTGCACCTGGCCTCTTTTTTTGTGTTTTTTTTTTTTAAACAACATATCTTTTATTCTTTGTAGAGATGAGGACTTCCTGTGTCGCCCAGGCTGGTCCTAAACTCCTGGGCTCGAGCAATCCTCCTGCATCAGCCTCCCAGAGTGCTGGGATTACAGGCATGAGCCGCCGCACCCACCCTATCAGCTCTTTAATGAGAGGATAAAGGAACCCAGAAACCTTGAATGCTGGTTCTGAAAGTTTGGCTATACCAAATATTAATACTTTGTTCACCTTGGCATTTGGTTTGGGGACCCTCCCTAAACCTACATATCTGGGTATCTGACTTATCAATGAAAGCCAATTATCATCTTGATTTCCATAAGATAAATTAGCATCTGTGTTCCTCAGGCATTTAATTTTTTCAAGTCCTTCTTTTAATTTTGGGAGTCAGTTTTCTTTTCTTTTCTTTCTTTTTTTTTTTTTTGTTTTTCGGAAATGGAGTCTCGCTTTCTCGCCCACTCTGGAGTGGTGCAGTGGGGTGGTCTCAGCTCACCACAGCCTCCACCTCCTGGGCCCAAGCGATCCTCTCACCTCAGCCTCCTGCGTAGCTGGGACTACAGGCGTGCACCACCATTCCCAGGTAATTTTTGTATTTTTTGTAGAGACAGGGTTTCACTGTTGTTGCCCAGGCTGGTCTCGAACTCCTGCTTCAGTCTGCCAGAATGCTGGATTCTAGGCGTGAGCCACCGTGCCTGGCCCAAAAGTTACTTTTCTTACAGAAGCAAAGCTTTAATGCATTTTACTGAATGCTTATAGCTTTGTAGATACTGAAAAGAGTATGAGCGTCACATACAGACACATCTAACAGCACTGCCTCCAACCAGCCCCTACCCACTGGTCAGGTGAGTAAGAATCAGAATTCTTTTCTGTGAGTGGAACGGAAATTTCATCTCTCCTCCTCAGGCAAGTAGTTAAGAGGCTGGTGGGAGTCATGGCCCCATTTTGTTCAAAATACAAGCTCCACAGGAACAAAAGGCTGAACTGCTCACCTCCCAACTGATGAACCTCGTCTTTGTTCCATGTCAAAGGGGCCTTTGTGTTACTGCAGCAGAAACTCCAGCTATCAAACCATCAGGTACCAAAAGTAAAACTCCTTTCTCTAAAAAGACCTCTCTTTACCTGAGCCTTTCAATGCATCTTTGCCCCCAGATAATCCTGGATGAGATAATCCCCAGAGGAAGACCAGCGCTTGCCTAGTGAAATTATACTATGAGACAAGGTTAAAAGACCTCAGAGACTGGGTTGGCAGGTAAGGGAGTAGGGTACAGCAGCTTCTGGAAAGAAGAATTAATATTTGACAAAATTGTAACCCTCTGACAGCCATGATACATGAATTGCAAAAAGAAAATGCAGAACTTTATACATAACATGATCTCATTTTTATTTTAATTTTAAAAGCATGTCTATATATTTAATTGGTTAGAATGCAGGAACAGAAAGAGGACCCACCAAACTATTAATCATCTCTGTCATACTTTTGCAATTAACTAATTTTTTATAACAACAAGCATTAATATCTGGAATAAAAAATAAAAATTGTTAAAAAAAAAAAAAGAATAAAATTGGGGCCTGCTATATTTACCTTACTTCCTTTGGTGGTAAGGGGTCAAACTCCACTCCTTCGCCAAAGGACAGGGGACAAAGCCTCAGCGCACAGCCGGGAGCCAGGGGGAGAGACGCTGGACTCTTCAAGGACAGAGAAGAATGCAGTTAGAGCTCTTACGGGCCATTTCTTTTATTTTTTATTTTTTTTTATTTTTTATTTTTGTGAGACAGAGTCTCGCTCTGTTACCCAGGCTGGAGTGCAATCGTACAATCTCAGCTCACTGCAACCTCTGCCTCCCAGGTTCAAGCAATTCGCCTGCCTCAGCCTCCTGAGTAGCTGGAATTACAGGCATGTGCCACCACGCTTGGCCAATTTTTTTTTTTTTTTGTATTTTTAGTAGAGACGGGGTTTCGTCATGTTGGCCAGGCTGGTCTCGAACTCCTGACCTCAGATGATCCGCCCACCTCGGCCTCCCAAAGTGCTGGGATTACAGGCGTGAGCCACCGCACCCGGCCCCCACGGGCCATTTCTAAGCATTGCCCACAGAAGGCTGTGGGTCTGAGCCTCCAGCTGATGGGCCCAACTGGGATCTGTGTCCCCCATGCTGGGCACACCAGAGAAACGCTGGACAGGGAGCAGAGAGGTCTGGGTTCAAATCCCAGGTTGACCACGACCGTGCCGTGAGCCCTCAGAGGAGCCACATCACAAGCCCTGTGACCCTATCAACACAGCAAAGTGGATGCCCCCTTTCACTGCTAAGGTTGTGTGAAAAGCTGCAAAGAGGAAACAAACTCAAGCCAGACTGCCACCCCTCGCCCTGCGGTGAGAAACCCTGGTGAGCCGAGGCTCACTTCACCCGAATCCTCAATTCGACAGCGCTCCCTCTGTCACCGTCTCAGCAACACTCTAGAAAAGGTCAAAACAAAAAATATGCTACCAGGGAATTTTTTGTTTTCTAACTAAAGATTCAATCTGGCCAAGCGCAGTGGCCCACACCTGTAATCCCAGCATTTTGGGAGGTGGAGGTGGGAGGATCCCTTGCGCCCAGGAGTTTGAGACCAGCCTGGACAACATGGCAAGACCCCATCTCTACAAAAAATACAACAATTAGCTGGGTGTGGTGGTACGCGCCTGTAGTCCCAGCTACTCAGGAGGCTTAGGTGGGAGGATCGTTTGAGCCTGGGAGGTTGAGGCTGCAATGAGCTGAGATCGCCACTACACTCCAGTCTAGGCAACAAAGCGGGCAGAACAATAGACTCTGTCTTTAAAGAAAAAACTTTCATTGGTAAGATGGACACCAGGCCGGGCACAGTAGCTCACACCTGTAATCCCAGCACTTTGGGAGGCCAAGGCAGGTGGCTCACCCGAGGTTGGGAGTTCGACACCAGCCTGGCCAACGTGGCGAAACCCCGTCTCTACTAAAAATACAAAAATGAGCCAGGCATGGTGCTGTGTGCCTGAAGTCCCAGCTACTAGGAAGGCTGAGGCACGGGAATCGCTTGAACCCAGGAGACAGAGGTTGCAGTGAGCCGAGATCATGCCACTGCACTCCAGCCTGGGCGACAGAGTGGGACTCTGTGTCAAAAAAAAAAAAAAAAAAAAAAGAGAGACGGACACCACATGTTCTTCCTGTCACTTTCCGCTATCCAGAATACTCAGTGAACCAGAGCACAGCAGGACTTCCAGCCCGGCCAATGCATGGGACGTTCTGATTAACCAAGAAGGCTCACTAGAAGTCAGTTACATCCTAGACATGGGGCTAGTTTTCACCCAATTTGCAGGATCAGGGCTTCCGTGTTAAAGAGTGCAAAGATAAACACGGTGCAGAGCCTGAACTCGGAAGCCCTTTATGTTCCCTGGTTCACTCGGGATCTATCATTTTTTTTGCCTAATTTGAGAGAAGGATGTACATTTGCGCCAGGGTGTGGAGTTGGCAGCCCCACCCCCACATCTCCCGAGGACAGAGAAGGAGGCAAACGTTTCTAGAAGGTTGGCTCTGAGACCTTTATCCTGAGACCAGGACAAGGTGTGTCAAGTAGGGGCATGGGGTGGAAATGCGAAAGCCAAAGGGGACCAGAACAGAGACGCAGAGGGCCCTGAGGGTCCAGGTCCTGAACCTGGGTGGAGGCTTAGCAAGGCCGGGCTAGACGAGGGGCGGTGGGTGGGAGCCAAGGTCAGTGAATTGTGTGTGTGTGTGGCAGGGGAGGGTACATAAGGTGTTTGTGTGTGTGTTGGGGGGAGGGTACATAAGGTGTGTGTGTGTTTGTGTTGGGGGGAGGGTACATAAGGTGTGTGTGTGTTGGGGGTACATAAGGTATGTGTGTGTTGGGGGTACATAAGGTGTGTGTGTGTGTGTGTGTGTGTTGGGTATATAAGGTGTGTGCGTGTG
>NC_000017.11:488987-490395 GCF_000001405.40 Homo sapiens
TGTGTGTGTGTGTTTGTGTGTGTTGGGGGTATATAAGGTGTGTGTGTGTGTTTGTGTGTGTTGGGGGTATATAAGGTGTGTGTGTGTGTGTTGGGGGGTACATAAGGTGTGTGTGTGTTGGGGGGGTACCTAAGGTGTGGGGGGGAGGGCACATAAGGTGTGGGCATTGGCTTCTGCAAACAGCCTCCAAATAGTGACAGTAGGCCCTGCTCTGCCCCCACTCTCTGGCTGCCAGACCCTGCCCAACAGAAGGGGGCACCTCATGGGAAGGTGGGTGATCTCTGAACCCCCTACCGCCTTCCTCCAGGCATCGGCAGGAGCACTCGGTTCTGTCGCCTTCTCTGCTTTTCCATCCCTGCCCACCCGACAGACCCTCCCTGAGCACGRCCCTCGCTCCAGGCTGGGGCTGGGGTGATGTGAGGCAGCGGAGGTCATAACAGACACATGAACGAAGGGCCACAGGAATGGGGATGTCGTCGTGGACTCTGGCCCCTGGGAAGCATCAAGGAAGGCCTCCCAGAGGAGGTGACATGAGCTGGGCATTGAGGGGCCAGCAGGACGCCTCCTGGGAGAGGTAAGAGGCCCTGGGCACGCGGGTGGAGGGCGGCAGCAGAAGCGCTGGTGTGGTGCATGTGTCCGGCCTGTGGCCAGGGCAGGTGGACGACGAGGCCAGATGGGGCCGGACGGGAGGGCGCTGAAGGCCAAGTTGAAGCCAGCCCCGCCTTGGGATGGCGATGAGGAAACTGCCCTGATGCCCACCGAGAGACAGGGTGGGAGGGGCGAGACCACCAGCACCGCCGGGGCTCCCGTGGGGGTCCCCAGGAACCTCTCGTGGGGATCCCTAGGGACGGCAGCGGCCGCCTTCACCGGGGGGAGGAAGTCCCCATGCCGGGGGGCAGGGCCGGGCTGCGGCCCCGCTCCAGCTTTTCTGAGACCGCGGGCAGGATGTGGCTTCCCCAGAGTTCTAAGTAAAGGCAGCAAACACCAACATCCGAGCGAGTCCCAGGGCAAAAGATTCGGTGGAGTCTTTTCTTTAAATGAACATTTTAAAGTAAAGCAAGAGGATTACTCCGTGAAAGTTTCCACCCACCCAAAGGCCTCCCACCCGTCATGTGAGGGACACCGGGTTCCCGGTGTTCAGGCCAAGAGGGGGCCCCGGGAGGCCGCAGGCTGGGGAGGGACCTTTCTCCCAAGGTCGAGGAAGGCTCTGGGCCCTCTGCCCCGGGATGGGGGGCCCGGCTGGGAAGAGGCGCGCGGCCCCGTGGGAGCCCAAAGCCGCGGGGTGTCGGGCCGGGGTTCCCTCCAGGCGCCCCCCCCGCCCGGCAAAGGCAGGAATGTGGCCGACCCGCAGCCCGGCAGCCCCGGGACCGCCACCCCGAAGGGAGGAGACGGCGGCTCGCCGCTCCCG